>NC_000020.11:2187547-2339062 GCF_000001405.40 Homo sapiens
TTCTTGTAATGTCTTTGCCTGATTTTAGTATCAGGGTAATATTGGTTTCATAGGAGTTGGGAAGTGTTCTCTCTTTCTATAT
The DNA here is from genome assembly GCF_000001405.40 of Homo sapiens. Taxonomy (NCBI): domain Eukaryota; kingdom Metazoa; phylum Chordata; class Mammalia; order Primates; family Hominidae; genus Homo; species Homo sapiens. The sequence goes on from NC_000020.11 coordinate 2,187,630, forward strand.
TTTTTTGAAGAGTTTGTGAGAGATTGATGTTAATTCTTCCTTAAACATTTGATAGAGTTTACCAAGCCATCTGAGCCAGAACTTTTCTTTGTGATAAGTTTTCTGATTCAGTATCTTTACTTGTTATAGATCTATCAGATTTTCTATTTTTTCTTGAGACGGTTTTGATGGTTGTTTCTTTTTAGGAGTCTGTGTGTTTCATCTAGTTTACCTAATTTGTTGGTATATAATTGTTAACAATATTCCTTTTTAGATTTTGTAATGTCCCCCCTTTGATTCCTCATTTTAGTAATGTGAGTTTTTCTCTCTCTTTTTTGTTTTTTGATCAATCTAGCTAAAAGTTTATCAATGCTGTTCATCTTTCCAAGAACTAGTTTGGGTTTTGTTGGGTTTTTCTCTATTGTTTTTCTGTCTATTTCACTTCTTTCTACTCTATATTTACTATTTCTTTCATTTAGCTTTAGTTTGCTCTTCTTTTTCTTGTTTCTTAAAGTGGAACATGGGGCTGTTGATTTGAGGTTTTTCTTCTTTTTGAATATACATGTTAACAGCTATAAATTTCAATCTGAGTGCTGCTTTAGAGTGTTTTGTTGCTTTTCCACATATTTATATAATTCTTTGCATGTCTCACAATTTTTTTTTTACCTTTCCTATGGTACTGAACAATTTTTTTGAAAAGTGGACATTTTAGATAATATGTTGTAGCAACTCTGAATACCAGTTCTCCATGCTCCCACAGATTTGTTGTTTGCTTGTTTATTTGGTTAGTAACTTTGCTAGAGCAATCCAGCACTCTTTCTATGTATTCAATATTTCTCCCAATATGAAAGGACAAGAGAAATAAAGCTTTCTTCCATAATAAATATTCTTTTTATATTTCAGGAAAGTCTATTTCCCTCACAGGGTGCAGCATCTGATGTTGTTCCTCAAAGAGCTCAGCCTTGGGCATGAGCACAGCCTCTCTAGGATGCCACTGGTTTTAGCAGGGCTCTCTTTGACTGTCTTTTTCCTTTATCTCTGTTATGCTGTCTGCCTCTGTTGGTATCATACCTAGATATTAGCTTCTACCAATTGATGGTTGATTGTTCTATTGTTTTTGACAGTGCTGTGAGGCAAAAATTGCTCTACAATAGGATTCTGTGATATTTGGGCCCCTTTACAGGGGTAGTCTTTAAGGCCAGTTTTTGAGTCTTGTTCTGATCCCAAAGAGCTTTTCTTAACTGTCTCTTTCCCTGATTATTCGTGTTAAACTACTAGATGGTTTAGGTTTAGCTTCTTTTTTTCAAGAAGCTACTTGTCTCCTCGTAATTTCTTACCACCAAAAGATCCATTGTTTAATTACCACCAGTTACCTCTCCTTGCCCCACATTCATATTTTGTTCATATCATTTGATTTGAACTTCCCTCTACACTCTGTTCACAATAAAGCCTGTTCCCCTAGGGGAGAACATTGAAGCTCTCTGTTCTGAAGGCCTCTCTCTCCCTCTAGACAAAATCTCTACACCACTGCTTCAGAGCTAGGGGTAAAGACAGCAGCCTCTTCCTCTTGCAGCAATATCCAGACTTTACAAGTAGTGTGCTTGTGGTGGTGGTTGTCTCTGGTCTGCTCAGTTTGCCTCTCTCAGTGCAGAACTTCTCCCTTATGAGCAACATGAAACGAGGGCAATCAGGGTCCCAGTATTCTCAGACTGACAAGTCTCGGGTAGAGCTCCTACCCTGTGAGTGAGCGGGGACTGGGTAGAGAAAGGAACTCCAGATCTCTCAGCTGCTCTTGCCTGGAATTTAGCTTCTACAACATAGAGCTAGGGGAATAAGTGTTTCTGGTAACCTGCAATATTCCTGCCCTCTGGGGGAAGAGGAAATCCTATGTTCTTGTCTGCACCCACCTGTGGCAGAGCTTCATCGTGCTGAGCTGGGGGAAGCGGAAAGGAACAGGCTATGGCTCAGATACCCCAGATGCATGCTATTCTTACCATGAAATGTTTCTTTATTTGCTATATGCCTTTCTTCTTCTTCTTTTTTTTTTTTTCCTAGAGTGAGTGATAGAGTGATGGAGTCTCACTCTGTCGCCCAGGCTGGAATGCAGTGGCATGATCTCGGCTCACTGCAACCTCCGCCTCCCAGGTTCAAGAGATTCTCCTGCCTCAGCCTCCCAAGTAGCTGAGATTACACAGGTGTGTGCCACCACACCCAGCTAATTTTTGTATTTTTAGTAGAGATGGGGTTTCACCATGTTGGTCAGTCTGGTCTCAAACTCTTGACCTCACGTAATCTGCCTGCCTCGGCCTCCCACAGTGCTGGGATTACAGGCATGAGCCACCGTGCCTGCTCTATTTGCTATATATCTTTAAGACAGTTTCCAGAGACTATAAATGCTTCTTTTTAAAAATAATTTTTACAAGGTACAGTTTTTTTCACCAGGGAAATATCTACACAGCTCCTCAGACGGCTATTCCAGAAATTGTTTCAAAGATGGGACTCAGATCTTTTAATTAGCCAACCCTGCCTACTGACTTCTTCAATTTCTTGTTATGTGAGGTTAAAAAAAATTCCTGACTGGGCACAGTGGCTCTCACCTGTAATCCCAGCACTTTGGGAGGCCGAGGCGGGTGGATTATGCGGTCAAGAAATCGAGACCATCCTGGCCAACATGGTGAAACCCTGTCTCTGCTAAAAATATAAATATTAGCCAGGCATGGTGGCATGCGCCTGTAGTCCCAGCTACTCGAGAGGCGGAGTGAGGAGAATCGCTTGAACCCGGGAGGCGGAGGTTGCAGTGAGCCAAGATTGTGCCATGCACTCCAGCCTGGCAACAGAGGGACACTCCATCTCAAAAAACAAACAGACAAACAAAACAAAACAAAACAAAACAAAACAAAAAATTAGCTGAGCATGGTGGTGGACGCCTGTAATCCTAGCTACTTGGGAGGCTGAGGCAGGAGAATCGCTTGAACCCAGGAGGTGGAGGTTGCAGTAAGCAGAAATCACACCACTGCACTCCAGCCTGAGTGACAGAGCGAGACTCTGTTTCAACAAAATAAGTAAGTAAATAAACATTAAAATTTTTTTTTAAAATCCTTATTGTACATTTCTGTTGCTCATGGCCAATAGCGTCCTGATTGATCCTAACTTAATGAGGACTGAACCAAGGCCAGCAGAGTTTTTTTCCATCTAGAAAGGTGACAGCAGGTAAGGCCTAGCCTAAAAGATATTCATTCACAACACCTGTGACACTTTAGTGCTCCATTTTTCTGTTTATTGGCATATCTCTTCTACTAGACTGTGGTCTCTTTAAGTCAAGATCACATGTCTATTTTGTCTTAGAATTTCCACTCTCCAGCACTGGGGCTGTTACTTAGTATACGTATAAAATATTGGCAAACTAATGAATAACTATTGTCAGGGTAGCTTAATTACTTTAGAGCTATTTGCCTTTTGGTCTGTCCCCACAAATGTCCTTGATTCATTTTGGTGCTTCGGACCGGGAACTGACCTACCCAACCGGTCCTATTTATCTCTGCTACCGAGAAGTCTGATAATGTAGGGCTTAGGGTTTGAATTTTGTCTCTGTTACTTTGCCTAAAAAGGTTGGGCACATGCTTTAACTTCTCTGTACTTCAGTTTTTCATCTGCTCAATAGCATAACAATACTAGTCAACATTAAATGTTATAATAATAGTAACAAACATTATTGAATGTATACTGTGAGTCAAACACTGTTCTAAACTCCTTACATGTATTATTAGCTGCTGTCAGCCTCACAGTTACCCTACAGGATAAGTACTACCATTAACTATCATTATCCTCATCTTTCTTTTTTTATTTTATTTTTGAGACAGAGTCCCACTCTGTCACCCAGGCGGGAGTGCAGTGGAGCAATCTCGGCTCATTGCAACCTCCACCTCCCAGGTTCAAGCAATTGTCCTGCCTCAGCCTCCCGAGTACCTGGGATTACAGGCATGCACCATCACGCCCAGCTAATTTTTTTATTTTTAGTAGAGACAGGGTTTCACCATGTTGGCCAGGCTGGTCTCCAACTCCTGACCTCAAGTCCTCCATCGGCTCAGCCTCCCAAAGTGCTGGGATTACAGGTGTGAGCACACGGCGCCCGGCCAATCCCCATTTTGCACAAAACAAAACTGAGGGATAGACAGGTTAAATAATTTCCCCAAGGATACACAGATAGTAAGTAATAAAGCCGGGATTTGCACCTAGGTGTTCCGTTCTAGAGTTCTTACCTACCATCTATAATATGTGTATATATGGCCCTCTGAGTTCAATATATGCATGCAAAATCGTTTGCCATAGATACCTTTTTAAAACAAAAATCTGATCATTTCACCCACCTACCATTGCCACCCCAGTTTAAAATGTATCAGTGGTTCTAATCCACTCTTAGGATCAAAGCAAAATCCCCTATTATGACTGATGAACCTCACCCATCCGGGCTCTCTCAGATCACCCCTCCCTGTTGCTGTCTCTGCTCCAGACACTCTAGCGTCCTTCTGCTCCCTCACACTACCAGGCTTCTCTATCTTGCCATAGGACCTTTCCATATACTGTTCACTCTGTCTAGAATGTTCTCCCCGTCATCCTTCCTCCTCTCCACTTTTTTTTTTTTTTTTTGAGACGGAGTCTCGCTCTGTCGCCCAGGCTGGAGTACAGTGGCGCGATCTCGGCTCACTGCAAGCTCCGCCTCCCGGGTTCACGCCATTCTCCTGCCTCAGCCTCCCGAGTAGCTGGGACTACAGGCGCCCGCCACCATGCCCGACTAATTTTTTTTTATTTTTAGTAGAGATGGGATTTCACCGTGTTAGCCAGGATGGTCTCGATCTCCTGACCTCGTGATCTTCCCGCCTCGGCCTCCCAAAGTGCTGGGATTACAGGCGTGAGCCACTGTGCCCGGCCCCACTCCTCTCCACTCTTAACTCCTGCTTATTCGTCACTTCCTTGGGGCAGCTCTCCCTATCTCCCCAAACCAGATCAAGTCCTTTCATTAGAGGGATTCAGGGCAGCAGTTACCTTTCCTTGCCCCACATTCACGATCCTTCCATTAGAGGGATTCGGGGCAGCAGTTACCTTTCCTTGCCCCAAGTTCATAATTTGTTTGTGTGCTTGTTTGGTAGCATTTGGACTGTAAGCTCCAGGAGCATTGCTTGTTTTTGATAATCATTATATCTCTAATGCCTAGTTAGAGCCTTGTACCTGGTAAGGATTCACTTAATATTTTTTGGAATATGAATGAAAGATTATTCATTCTGACCTGGACTGTAGCACCAGGCCAAGGGCAGGAATCCCAAAGCTGTGTTGAAACTTGCCCAATGCAGCTGGTTACTTCAGCCAAGTTTATCTTGATAGCCTCATCCATTTATTCATCAAAGATTTATTCAGTCTCTAACGTGTTTACTATTGTTCTAGCAGGTGGGGATTCAGTGGTGAGCAAAACAAAGTCTTTGCTTTCATGAAATATATTCTGGTTGTGGGGGACTGAGTGAATATATAAGAAACAGGCCGGACACCATGGCTCACACCTGTAATCCCAGCATTTTGGGAGGCCAAGGTGGGTGGATCACTTGAGGTCAGGAGCTTGAGACTAGCCTGGCAAACATGGTGAAACCCTGTCCAACTCTACTAAAAATACAAAAATTAGCCAGGTGTGGTGGTGTGTTCCTGTAGTCCCAGCTACTCAGGAGGCTAAGGCAGGAGAATCACTTGAACCCAGGAGGTGGAGATTGCAGTGAGCCGAGATCGTGCCACTCCACTCCAGCCTGGGCGACAGAGCAAGGCTCTGTCTCAAAAAAAAAAAAAAGGAAGAAAAAGAAACAGATAAGTAGGTTGAATAATGTCAAGAGGGAGAAAACTAAAATAGATTGAGTAGAATGGGGCTGGGGGGAGGTTACTTTGGCTACAGTGGCCAGGGAGGCTTCTTGATGAGGTGGCATTTGAACAGAGACCTTCATACAGTGACAGAGCAGACCTCTGCAAAGACCTGGGGAAGAACATTCTAAGCACGGGAAGGGCACATACTTGCGGAAGGGCAGGAAGGCCCTGGGCTTTAGCCTGAGGGCAGGGTGCAGGGCATCACACCCCAACCTCAGAGGGCAAGCAAGTTGACAGCTGCACACCTTTGTCGCTGTGTGCTTAAACTGGTTTGGAGCCACCTCTTTGAGGTCCTGCCAGAAGCCTGCATTCAGAAACAATGGAGCCAGAAATGAGTCCGTTTAAGAGCCACTTGTGCCCATTCGCCCACACCTCAGGCGGGTCAAGCAGGCCGCTGTCACATTCACTCAGGATGTCTCTCTCTGGAGGTGCTTCTGGCTGCAGAATTGTTTTCAAAACAGAAGAACGTTCTGAATTCCGCCTTCCCCCACTCCGCTCTGTCAATCTATTGATTATGTGTGGAATGAACTGGAGAACTCAACTAGGAGATGAAGAAAAACCCTCAGAAACCTCAAGGCCAAGAGGACGTGGTGGAGGCCAACTTGGGGGTTGCAGGACATCACCCACCTACCCACGAGATGATCTATTAATAGCTCAGTGGTTCTCACACCTGGGCAGGCATTGGCATTACCTGAAGCTGAGATGAAACCCAAATGGCTGAGTCCCGCACCCACAGTGTCTGATTCAGCGAGTCTGGGGCGGGGCCTGACTGAATTTCCTGCAATACAGGTGATGCATTTTTTTTTTATTTTTCTTTTTTAATTTTTATTTATTTATTTTTTTTGGGAGACAGAGTCTTGCTCTGTCACCCAGGCTGGAGTGGCAGTGGTGTGATCTCAGCTCACTGTAACCTCCTCCTCCAGGGTTCAAGTGATTCTCTTGCCTCAGCCTCCTGAGTAGCTGGGATTACAGGCATGAGCCACCACACCTAGCTAATTTTTGTATTTTTAGTAGAGACAGGGTTTCATCTTGTTGGCCAGACAGGTCTTGAAACATGGCGAAACCCCCTCTCTACTAAAAATATAACATGGTGAAACCCTGTCTCTACTAAAAATACAAAAATTAGCCTGGCGTGCTGGCGCACGCCTGTAATTTCAGCTACTTGGGAGGTTGAGGTGGGAAAATCTCTTGAACCCAGGAGGCAGAGGATGCAGTGAGCCAAGGTGGTGCCACTGTACTCCAGCCTGGGTGACAGAGCAAGACTGTCTCAAAAAAAAGAAAAAAAAAGTTCCAGGGCATTGAGCAAGTTAGGTATCCCCTGTATTCCTCAGTTTCCTCATTTATATGTCAGAGAGGTCTTCCTTGACCTCAGTTTACATTGCTCCCTTTCCTGATTTATAACATATAATACAATTATTGTAATATAATAGAATATGAGGTAAGAGATGATGACAGCTCCCACTTCATGAATTTGCCAGGAAGATTTAGTGAGTTCCCTTGTCCTCAGAAGAGTGCCTGGTACATAGTAGTGTTGAGTTAATCTTTGCTCAGGTTTTTCTGAAGTCATTCTGACGAACGCTCAGGTGTGTTGAACCCTCCTTGTTTGTACCCGGGTCAGAGTGGACAGCCCTTATCAGAATCACCTGGCTACTTGTCAAAAATGAGGATTTCTGGCCAGGTGCGGTGGCTCACGCCTGTAATCCCAGCACTTTGGGAGGCCAAGGTGGGTGGATCACGAGGTCAGGAGATCGAGACCATCCTGGCCAATATGGTGAAACCCCGTCTCTACTAAAATACAAAAAATTAGCTGGGCGTGGTGGTGTGCGCCTGTAGTCCCAGCTACTCAGGAGGCTGAGGCAGGGGAATTGCTTGAACCCGGGAGGCGGAGTTTGCAGTGAGCCCAGATTGCGCCACTGCACTCCAGCCTGGCGACAAGGTAAGACTCCGTCCCCCCCGCCCCAGCCAAAATGCGGATTTCTGCTCCCCAGCCCAGATCTGCAGGATCCTAAGCTGAGGGAGCAGATGAGGCTCTGGATTCTGCATTTTTTTTTAAACCATTGCCTCTGGGTGATTTTTGTGCAGAGTAGTCTGGAGAGCAGAGTGGAGTTAAATGAGTCTGGGTTTGAATCACCTTGCAGTTCGGGTTTGTATTACTCAGTGCCAGTGGGGCCCTGAGCAAAGTACTTTGCTGGGAGCCAGTGGAGCCTCACATACTAATGGAATGAAGGGTGCAGATGCCCTGGTGCACAGAGCCCTCAGCCCTCTGCCCCACCCCTGGCATGCCAGGAGTGCTCCACCATGTGGCTGTGGGCTCCTGGTGGCTCTGTCTCCTCCAGAGGGCCAAGTCCGCACTGGACACTTCCTCCGCACTACCAGAATCGGCCTCAGAGTCACCCAGACGACTCTGGTGGGCTTAACCCTCCTGGGTTCCCATTTGTCAAATATGGCCCTGTTCTCTCTCTTCCTTCCTTCCCTGATTATTAATACCTGTGGAGTGAGGAGCCCTATGTGGGGAACAGAGCTGGGTTAATGGAGGAAACAGAATCACAGAGAAATTTTACACTTGCAGCTTCCTGTTGTAAGTACCTTCATGTGAAAAAGCATCCTTTCTTTGTGTTTGAACAGTAATTATTCTTTTGAAGTTAGTTGTAGCATGTAAGCTGTCAATGCTAAATGTTGGATATAGGAGAAGTGACATGAATGAATGAATGAATGATGAATAAATGAATGAATCTATGGATGATGAACTGATTAATAAACAGGCAGAAGTCCTTTGCCTGAGCAAAGAAAGCAGTCCCAACAAGAAGTGGGCAGCAGAGACACTCTGCACCAAAATCGCATCTGGACCCCTGGAGGGGAAAACTCTCTTCCTCCTGTCCTCTCACCCGTTGCCCATATAATTGTCCACTAGACTTAAAGGCTTTTAAAGGGTGAGACCCTGAATTTGGCAAACTCTCTTATTTCTTTGCTTTTCGGAGGTATATTTTTCTCTAGTTTCTTAGTTGATGCTCTATTTGAAAAATTCCAACCTGGTCTTAGGATACCGTACGAAAAGGAACCTCCTCCACATTTCAGGGAGGTAACGATATTCACTTCACAGTAACTTACTTTTGGATGGTGCTTTATAGATTGCAAAATATCAGCTAGCCCCCCACGAACAAGTGTAAGTCTCTCTGCTCCTCTATGCTTGGCACTAACGCCCAACCCAAGGCAGGAACTCCAGCAACGATGTTGAATAGACCATGTCTGATTTGAGCCTTTAACAACTAACATTCGACTTTTATCATTGGAAACTGAGGATCAGAGGGATGGCGTGGCCATCCATGGTTGCCCAGCCTAGATCAGAGCTTGGATGTGGGAGTCACATCTCTGGTGATCTACCATGGAGAAGGGCATGGAGGAGGGCCTGGCACTGGTAATACAAAGGATGGGGATTCACAGCGGAATGAGATGGTTTCAGTCAGGGGGACTTGATTTAAATCCAGACTCTGCATCCTGACTAAGTCCTATGACCTCTCAGCCTCTCATTCTCCATCCTTGAAATGGGAAGGGCACACACAGCTATTTAGCAGGGCCATTGGATTAAATGGGAGCACATGTGTAAGGCACTTGACCCACAGGTAGAGAATAGTAAATGTTGGTGCCCTCCTTGCACCCCCAAACACCGAGAATGACCTCCATGCCTCCCCCTCTTCCATCCCCAACCTCATGTGGGTTTTGATGGTACGACGAACACGTTCTCCACACCGTATTAAAAAGTGACATGAGTCAAAGGCACAACAACAGCTTCTTTGTTCCAAGATTTTTCAAGAAAGAGACATCTTAAGCTCTCAGTTGCACTCTCCCTGGCGTATCCTGGCTAGTTTCCTGAAGAATGAATGACAAAGCTGATTGCTGCTTCACAGAGTGGAGGTGGAAAAAGAAAATGGGATGCATAATTTGTTAAGGAGCAAGTTTTTCAAATGTCAGTGACTTAGCATCAGGGAGCTGCAGGCTAGGGGGCCTATTGGGATTCTGCTTCTGGGAACTTCTGTGCCATCATTTTGCTCGATTAAATTCTGTATTTCAGCCCACTCCGCCTCTATTCATCTGCTTCAGTGCAACACTCCTAATTTGAGTAGCTCTAATTGGCTCAGATGGACGGCTGCAAGGTAGACGCCCTTCAAGGATGGCACACTTCGGGGGCTGTTTATAGCGATGCTGAACTTTAATCAAAGATAGCATGGGAAGAACACAGCTTTGGAGACAAATAGGCATGGGTCATTTTCTGTATGACCTTAGGTAATACTAGGCCATTCTAAGCCTGTTTCCCTGCCTATAAAATGGGGGTTATGTTGTGACTTCCTAAAGCCATTGCAGGGATAAATGAGGTCAGACATGGTATTAGTGCCTGGCACAGGAGGCAGACATTTTTTACAACAAGCTGCTGCATTTTCATAAAAATATTTTATTATGCCAAAGAAAATGTATGAATTCTGAAATGCCAGGTAGCATGATGGCTCTGTGAGCAATGTGGCACTAGTGACATCTGTTGTCAAATTTCAGAGATTCACAACCTCCTCCAGGTCATTACAAATCCAGCCCTTATTCCTGCGGACTACAGTCTAGATTGAGAAAATAAAATATGAACACGATGTCTGGAAAATGACTTTGTATTTAGGCACTTAGGTTAGAATGCAGGTTCAATTCTCTGGCTCCAAATGTTAGTGTTTCTATCAGTTATAACAAATAAATATGCAGAGGCAAAGCTGATCGACCGTTTCATTCCTTTTAAGAAACGGCGAGATGAACAGCTTCCCTAAGTCAGTGTGTCACAGCATTTAATTTCATGATGTTGTCTAGAAACTCTGTGTACTGTTTTCCAGGCCCAAACATATCACTCATTTACAAGAAGAAAATCAAAAGACAAGCTACCAATTCCCAGTAATGAGGGTTATTTGTTGATCATAAACGTAGACTCCATTCCCAGTGGAGGAGAGGCAGGGGCTCTTGTAGGATTAGAAATGATAAGGAAAAAACGCCAACAATCACGCACAGAGCATGGAGTCAGAAGCCCAGGAAGTGGAGACCTCTGGGCCCCTGGTTACGTGACCTTGGGCAGGTCACCTGCCCTGACTAGAACCATCTCCTCATCCTGAAATAGGCAGCAGTCCTTCCCATTCATCCTGTTCACACTGAGGCTTTTCAGAGCCAGCTCTTTATTCCTTGGATCTTTTTTCAATCTTTACAAAATCCAGTGAGGTTCGTGACTTGCCCAAGGTCAGAGATGTAAAAAGAAGCAAAGCCAGGATTAAAACTGTAGTCTGTATGCTGTCCCTATACACTATAAAATAATACGAGAGCTATTAAAAATATGATGACAGTAAGGACCACCAAGACATTGAAGTAAAAAGAAAAATACTCATTCATTCATTAATAAATATTTGCTGTCTAGTATGAGCCTGGCACCATTCCTGGCACCTGGCATCAAGATGATGGTGGTAGCTGAGCATAATGGGGAGACATACAATAAATAAGCAAGTAAATGACATAATTTCAGATAAGGCAAGTGCTGTGAAGACAGTAGAACATGGGTTTTCTTTTCTTTTCTTTTCTTTTTTGAGACAGGATCTGACTCTGTTACCCAGGCTGGAGTGCAGTGGTCCAATCTGAGCTCACTGCAAACTCCGCCTCCTGGGTTCAAGAGATTCTCCTACCTCAGCCTCCTGAGTAGCTGGGACTACAGGCACGCACCACCATGCCCAGCTAATTTTTGTAGAGACAGGGTTTTGCTATGTTGGCCACGCTGGTCTCAAATTCCTGGCCTCAAGTGATCCGCCTGCCTCGGCCTCCCAAAACGTTGGGATTACAGGCGTGAGCCACCGTGCCCGGCTGGAACATGGGTTTTCAATAATGAAGGTGAGGGGTAGCAAATTTAAATCGAGGTTGGGAAAGTCCTCTCTGAGGAAGTGACTTCTGAGCAGAGCCATATAGGGCTATCCTGAGAGGTCAAAGCACAGACCTCCTCTTTGCAAGGGCAAAACTCCTCAGAAGGAACGAAGCTCGCCATGGTGAGGATCAAGAGGAGGCTGGTGTGGCTGGAACTCAGTGAGAAAGTGCTAGAGGATGAAGGCAGAGACAGGCAGGCTGAGTTACGAGGCCTTGTAGCTGAGGAGTCTAGATTTTCTGTTAAGTGAAGACAGGAAGTGAGATAACTGAGTTAGTTATTTAATTAATGTAAAAAAGTTTTGTGGGGGGTGGGGGACAGAGTCTGGCTCTGTCGCCCAGGCTAGAGTGCAGTTGTACAATCTCGGCTCACTGCAACCTCCGCCTCCCAGGTTCAAGCAATTCTTCTGCCTCAGCCTCCCTAGTAGCTGGGATTACAGGTGCGCGCCACTACACCCGGCTAATTTCTGTATTTTTAGTAGAAATGGGGTTTCACCCTGTTGGCCTGGCTGGTCTTGAACTCCTGACCTCAAGTAATGCTCCTGCCTTGGCCTCCCAAAGTGCTGGGATTACAAACATGGGCCACCACACCCGGCCAAATTCAAGTAAAAATTTTAATTTGACTTATTGTTAAACTGATGATACGACTATTTAGAGTCGTAGGATTCAAAACTCAAAAGCACCAAAGGCAGAGAGTCTCCCTCCCACCCTATCCCCTTACTGTCCAGATCTTCTCCCTGGAAGCCATTTAGGTACAAGGTTCTTGTGTTTTCTTACAGAGATGTTATACACATACAAAATCAAACGTGCACACACATGCATCCTCCCTTTTTCTTTTACAAATGGTAGCATAATATTCACACTCTGTTTTTTTGAATTCTTGTCTTGGAGAGCATTTGTGGCGGTATTGGTAGAGTGTTTGCATGGTCATTTGTTTGTCTTGACTGCATGGTATTGCATTGCATAAGGTACTGTTATTTATTTACCCAGTTCCCTATTGGGAACCATTTAGGTTATTTCACTTGAAGGTTTTAAGGTAACATTCTGATTTATATTTTAGAAAAATCTCTCTGGCTGCTGCCAGGAGGCTGCTGTGTAGGAGACTGAGCATGGAAGCCCCAGCCCAGCCCTGCCCAGTTAGGAAGCAACTATTGTATTCAGCAAACCCTGCTGGCTCTAACGAGAAGTATCATCCCGAGTGCATCACCATCACTTCTCACCTCCATGGCCTCTCATTATGCACTCTCTGCCTCTACTCTTGCCTTCCTGGAGCCGTTCTCCAGCCGTTAGCCAAATGGGTCTTTTCAAAGGTGAGTCAGCTCATGCCACTTCCCTGTTGAAAACGTCAATGTTTTCCCATCACAGCTCAGGTAATATTAAAATTATTTCCTGTGGCTTCCGACTACCGCCCGACCTCACTGGCGCCTCTCTCCCAGGTTCCCTGTGCTCCAGCCCCTCATCACCTGGGATGGGGTTGTCTGCACCGCTGTCCTTGTGCCTGATGTCCCCACACGCTCGCTCCTCCTCCACCTTCCGGTAGTCCCAGCTTGAAAGTTCTGACCTCATCCCCTTCCCCAACACACCCCTACTCCCTGTCACATCACTCGAATCTGCTGCCTACAATTGGTGGGAGTGAAACCACTTAGTTTGCCAACTTTGAAGGAATCCTGTGAAATGCTCAGGTAACTGGCACCAATTTCCCATTTGTTCCCTTGACATTTCAGTGCTGCTTATGGATTAGTGCTTTGGGCAGCTGCACAGATAACCCACCTTTTGATCTGGGTCCGCTTGGCACAAGATACAATAAATGTCATGATAAATGTCAGCCAGGATTACAATGCTTCCTTCACAAACCTTAGCACAGACGGTTTCAATAAAGATTGCTTGATTAACTTTTTTCTTCTAATTCAATGCCATTTTAATCATGTGCCTACTTTTTGCTTAAAAGGCCTGTGAATTTCATTCTGACAAATAAAATTATTTTCCAAAAATGTACACAATTGCTTTGGCGATGTTCAATTTTCATTTCTTTGCTTGGTAACAGTGCTTAGCATTTAGCTGAGACTTCTTTATGGAAACTCTGCCTCCAGGAGAAGTAGCTAAAAGTCTGAAAAGTAATATTTGATGTATCATAAGGGGATAGTTATTAAATTCTTTTATTAAATTTAAGTTTTTATAAAACAGAACATCTTCAATGTGGAAGAGCTACATAGAATCACACTGAATGACTTTAAAGACATTTATTTCAAAGACTGCCATGTATCACACTGGTTAACAGTCACTCTGGATACAATTTTCTTTAAAGAGACCACTTCATTCCACTACAGCCACTTCAACTGCTTCCTCAATGGCTTAGAGAGGTCCAGGGGTTTTAGAGAGTCAGTGGGAAGTCATCCTAGAGATCATCAAAGTCTATCTTCCTCCTTTCTCAGAAAACAAATACCTGATAGTGTTGGTGCTTCCTTTCTCGGAACAATTGTGTTCCCTGAATCATACACAGTGGATGTTTTATACACAAAATTGTATTCTGATTGCATATACATACTATGCTAATGAATCACCCTCCAATCCATTTGTAGAGTGCTCTATCTGTAGAGTTATAGAAATATCAGTGTTCGCTCAAGATGGTCCATTGGGATGAGAAAATATTAGGACTTATATTCATGGTTATGTTTATTTGAAACTAGGAGAGATACTAAGTTTTACTAGTGTTTGCTACATGGCCTGACCCCAAAGGCCACACTGGGTCATGTGTCATGGGTGGTAAGCATGGGGGCGTCAGAGTGGTAGCCCGTGGCTCTTTCACTGACTTCTTGGCCTTCGGTGTATTACCATGTGTTACAGTTTCCCTGCTAGAGGAGGTTATCAACTCATCAACAGGGCTCATTTGGCAAAACCGAGACCCCTAAATGATATGATTTTTACAATACTTTAAAAATTGGCTGTATCTGTTTCCAGATTTTTTTCCCCTAAGCATCTACTAACAAATAGTTATATGTATTAGAAAACAAAAAGAGAGCCGGGCACAGTGGCTCACACCTATAATCCCAGCACTTTGGGAGGCCGAGGTGCACAGATCACTTGAGGCCAGGAGTTCAAGACCAGCCTGGCCAACATGGCAAAATCCCATCTGTATAAAAAATACATAAATTAGCTGGGCGTGGTAGCATGCGCCTGTAGTCCCAGCTACTTGGGAGGCTGAGGTAAGAGGATCGCTTGAGCCCAGGTGATTGAGGCTGCAGTGAGCCATGATCACACCACTGCACTCGAGCCTGGGAGTCAGAATGAGACCTTGTCTAAAAAAACAAAAACAAACTCAAAAAACAAAAAAAGCTTCATAATCTACATACACCTCTTTTCTTCACTCAGCCATATGGTTTGGGCATCTTTTCATGTCACTATATTTAGCTCTACCTCATTTTTCCCTACCTTATTCTTTTAAATATTTGCATAGAGTTCCGCAGTCATCCCTCTCATTACAAGGTTAGTTTGTTCCTAAGAAAATTCATAGGGTGAATTTTCATAAACGGAAAAGATAATTACTATTTCAACCGATGGTACACAGTTACTGCACAATTTCAGAAACAAAATACACACATGATTCTCAAAGTCATAAAAATTTTTTTAAAAAGCAGTATAAGAGAGACAAAGGAAACAATGCAAGTGATGCCTGAGTCTGTTACTTACAACCCGCACCAACTATGTCACCATAGAGAAGACCATGTGGAGGCTGCTCCAGAGGCTCAATAGCAGTCTTTGCTAATGCAGTGAAATCCTCACAAGCCAAAGAAAAGAAATTTAATGGAAATTAAACTCCTTTTAAAGTCAAAGTCTTGAACTTGCATGGGCATATTTTAGGGTAAGACTCTTTCCCATAGTATGGATGCATTATAATTTATTTCCCAACTGTTCATTATATGGACATCTGGGTTCATATTAATCTGCCAGGACTCCCATAACAAAATACCACAGACTGAGTGGCTTAAACAACAGAAATGTATTTTCTGACAGTTTCAGAAGCTGGAAATCCAAAATCAAGGTGTTGGCAGCTTGGTTTCTCCTGAGGCCTCTCTCCTTGGCTTGCAGATGGCAATCTTTTCAGTGTATCCCCACATGGTCTTTCCTCTGTGTGTGCACCCTGGGTGTCTCTCTTCTTAGAAGGATACTAGTCATATTGGATGAGGTCAATATGAGGTCATTACCCATATGACCTCATTCAACCTTAATTACCTCTTTAAAGACCTTATCTCCAAATATAGTGGCATTCAAAATCATTAGGAGTTAAGATGAATTTTGGGGTGCACAATTCAGTCCATAACTCAGTTGTTTCTCATATTTTTCACCGATATTCCTCACCTCACACACTCCTCAATCCATTCTAATCTCATTTCCACCCTCAGTGCTCCAATGGATATTTCCCTCCTCTGAGTGCTACCTGGTCAATTGTGATTGTTGCTCCCGTAAACAACTACAGTGTTCTCCTTCTTATTGGTTCCATGATGTTTATCATCCCCCCTGCCGCCGCCCAATCCATTCTCCCATAGACATAGTAAAATGCATTTGTAATCTAATCACCCCACCCCTTATCTTGATACTCTTCCCTGACTTCTTGCTTTTGAATTAAGACGCAAACAACTTAGGATGGTGGACAAGCCCTTGCAGGATCAGATATCGGTCCACCTCATTCATACTCCAACAGCCTCCTCCAACCCACTTCATTCCAGCCACACTGGCTTGCTTTCATCCCATGAGAAAGGTCAAGTCTTTTCCCACTTCAGGGCATGAATTGTGTCCTCTGCCAAGAACAACCTCCTCTTTGTCTGTCTCATCCTTCACACAGATTAAAAGTGAGTTTCTCAGTGAAGCTCTCCTTGACCCCCACTTGTCAGGTTACCATTGTCCCAGGCTCCCACAGAATTCTGGATTTTCTCTGCAGTGGTTATTACACATTGCAGTCACTGGAGCGATTGTTTCATATGCATCTCCCCCACCAGACCAAGAGCTTCTGGAGAGCAGGGGCCACATGGAAGATGCTCATTCCTGCATCCCCAATGCTCAGCCCAATTCCTGGCACAAAGTAAGTACTCGATAAATATTTAATGAATAAATAAACTCGTTGCATTTGGCTGTTTCCTCCATTTGGAAGGCCCTTTTCATTCTCATCCATCTGGCACGTTGAGGCCAGCCAGCTCCTATATCGCTCTGATTAGACTGTGAATTACTTTCATGGCAGGACCTGTGTTCCCAGTGCCTGGTAAAGGGCATGGCGCACACAGCAAGCCTGCCGGTTGAAGCAGATCATTTTTACTTTGCTGCGTATCCAGGTCCTACATCACTGCCCTACTGAAGGTTCTTGAGTCAAGAAGCAGATGAAAAAATTATCAACCTTCTGTCTGATTCATAATGACTATCACCGGTAGTCATTTATTTTGTATGATTTGTCTATAAATCATACAAAATAAAACTGACAATGGTTAAGATGGCACCTGTGAAATTTGTTATGAACTCAGAAGACTCACATCTTAAAGGTAACACTGGAAATTACAAGAAGCAAAGGAAATCAGATCTGGTTGAAATAATCAATGCAAACTAAAACAGACTGCCCACGTAAAATTTGCTCCTTACTAAACATTTGTAGAGGACTGCCATTGACAGATTTTTGGACCCACAAAATTTTGCCAAAGGAAATGGAACTATGGCGGCTGGGCATGGTGGCTCATGCCTGTAATCCCAGCACTTTGGGAGGCCAAGGCAGGCAGATCCCTTGAGCCCAGGAGTTCGAGACCAGCCTGGGCAACATAGTGAAAGCCTGTCTCCAAAAATGAAAATCAACCAGGCGTGGTGGTGCATGCCAGTAGTCCCAGCTAGTTGGGAGGCTGAGGTGGGAAGATTGCTTGAGCCTGAAGGTTGACGCTGCAGTGAGCCCTGATGGCGCCACTGCACTCCAGCTTGGGCAAGAGGGTGAGACCGTGTCTCAGAAAGAAAAGAAAATAGAACTTGCTAGTGTCAATGCCTTTTAGCCAAAGACCACCAGGACACACCTATAGTTGAACAAGTTGGGTTGCACTGAGGGAGAGTACATACCATGACAGAACTATGGGGGGGTATCTTCGAAAAGAGGTGTTATAAAGAACCTATTACTGGATTTGAGCTTTTATGGGTAATTTAAGGAGGGCCTATGGAAGTTGGATTCGCCCTAGATTGGAAGTGGTCAGGAAGCAGGAGCCAATTCCATGATTGGGTATCTCAATAAATCTAATCTATAGAGAAGGCAAACTAGAAGAAAGATAAAACTGTAATTAGTTAGCAGGGGGCCGGGCACGGTGGCTCACGCCTGTAATCCCAGCACTTTGGGAGGCTGAGGCAGGCAGATCACGAGGTCAGGAAATCGAGACCATCCTGGCTAACACAGTGAAACCCCATCTCTACTAAAAATACAAAAAATTAGCTGGGCGTGGTGGCGGGCTCCTGTAGTCCCAGCTACTTGGGAGTCTGAGGCAGGAGAATGGCATGAACCTGGGAGGCGGAGCTTGCAGTGAGCCGAGATCCTGCCACTGCACTCCAGCCTGGGCGACAGAGCGAGACTCTGACTCAAAAAAAAAAAAAAAAAAAAAGAGAGAGAAAAAAAAAAGAAGTAGCAGTCACTCATTTTCTCCAAGACGGGTGTTTGGTATTTTGTGAGTGGCACAGTGACTGTGTTTTTGTCTGTGCTTAGACAAAATTTCAAAGTAGATTTGCTATGTCTCACTTTATCAGGCTCTCTGTAACCATATCTGAGGTTGTTATTTTGTGACGCTACGTACAATAGGAGGATAACATGGTGGACCTGTGATGCCAGGCTAGCTTCTGAATGTCGGGGTTCCCTTTTTTTTTTCTTTTTCAATAAAATAAGCATGAAATACAAAATATCACAATGATGGAAACCAAAGTAAAATTCGACATACAAATTTTAAAGAAGTAAAATCTTTATCATGAAATTTATATGTAAAAGAATCACTCAGTAAAGACAATTTCCATAAAATAAAAATGGATATGGATACTATTTAACTATGTTGTATTAAAAAAAACTGATCAAAGAATTGGTTTAATGGAAAATGCTCTGGAAAATTCTTTTGCAACAGTTCATCGCTGTTGATATAATCCTAATTAAAATTATCGGACTCCAGTTTTGGTGGAGATGTAAATTTGCTAGTGTCTTTGAAGAGCAATTTAGTCATATTCATGAAAATTAAAATTGCATGTGGCCTTTGACATAGAAATTTTACTTCTGGAAATTTACAGAGAAAGTTGCACGTGTGCACGTACATACAAGGATATTACCACTCCACTCTAGTATTTTTTGTAGTAACGAAGATTGAACAAACATTAATGTCCTCCAGTAAGAAGCTGATTAAAATTCAGTATGAGACATCCATTGTACCCAAAGCTAGGTGGCCTTAAGAAGGTCAGTGTCGCTCAGCGACAGGGCTCGGCCCCCCCTCGTGCAAACCCACCCCGAGGTGTGAGGCCAGGAGTGTGCGGTCACGAGGCGCCCGGGAAGTGTGTCCAATGCCCGAAGCAGCCCCCACCCGGGCGGTCCTGAGTCCGGGTCGCGCTCTGGTGTATCTCTTTTGACGTCTGCTACCCACAGCCTGGGGCAGGAGAGTGGCGACGGCGAGGAGCAACTGCACGCGACTTGGGACCTTGCCCTGCCCCGCGGCCCGCGTCACCATGGCAACTGCAGGCAGCCAGCACCGACGGCGGGAAAACGAGGACCGGAGCCGCGTTACAGCCTTGGCCTTCGAGCAGCCCAGGGAGAGTCTCTGCGTCCTCCAGCCCCCGCTTCCCTTCATGTCGGAGGTCCTAAGCCCGCAGCGAAGTCCGCAAAGAGCTTTCCCCGACGCCTACGAGACCGGAAGTGCCTGGGCCCAGGTGGAGGAAGGACCCGCGTGGCCGCCTCCGCGCTCTCCCTGGGGTCCGTGCCCCTTCCGGCGTTTCTCCCGCGTCCTTCACCATGGCAACTCGGGCGTCGGGAGCGTGGGCTGCGAGCCGAGTGGGTGGGGGAGCCGCCGGGCTCTATCCGCCAGCCCACGAGAAGTGACGCAGGTGACGGGAGGCCGCAGGGACCTGAGGGCGGAGAGGGGAATTCAGAAAGTGCCGGGCGGCGGCTTCCGCTTCCTCTGCGGGGTCTCTGGGTGGTCGTGGCTGGGAGCTGCCGGGGCCCGGTGGCCGTGCGCCTCTGCTCCGGGCAAGCTCTCCCTGCAAGGCCCGGGCGGCGGCAGGGGGCAGTAGCGGCCCGCGATGCTCAGAGGCTCGCTGGCACGGAGCTCCCGGGCTGGGGCGTCCAGATCTGGAGAAGCCGGGGGCCTTGGTCACACTCAGAGCTGACGTCCAGTGCGGCCCTTGCTGAGGACTCGAGCGAACAGATCTCTACCCAGCCCCCGCCCCACGCGCACCCAGCCTGGGTCAGCTCGCCCTGCCCGCAGCCACGCAGCTGGTGGCTAAGCGCGGGCTCCGGGTTCAGGCTGCCTTGAGCTCTGTTGGTTCCCTCTGAAAGTGCTGATAATGATAGCAGGTATCTTGGGATTGCTTTGAGTATTAAACGAGTTAATCGTACTTAGTACAATTTCTGGACTTAGTTTCTAGCACGTGGGAAGTGCTCATGGGCTTGCCTGGGGCAAGTTAGTTGACCTCTCAACCTTGCCTCATTAAAAAGTGGGGATAATAATAGTACCCACTTAATACCGTTATAATAATTACAGTAGTTAATATTTGTAAAGCCCCTTGCCTTCAAGAACTTAGGACATTAAAAAAAAGATTGTGAAGTCCCTAGAATGGTGCCAGGCACATAGTAAGCTGCCTCTATTATTACCATGGTCATATTGTTGTTATCACTATGTTAAATAAAATTTATAAGAGGCTATTGGTTTGGACTGAGCTCCTGCACTATGCCCAACAGATCAACCCAACATGGAGTCACTTATGCTGAAGTTCCGTGCCACCAAGCTGAAACTAAGTTGCTTATTTGACTTTCCTAGAAATTAGGAGAGAGAGACAGTTAATATAGCCAAATGCCCAAGTAAACCAGCTTTAGCTGGCATGATGAGGAAGTCCTCTCTGCTTTAACCTTTACAAGGAAAATAACTTTGAAACAACCAATTCGCTTTTTGTTCTGTGTTTCTGCTTTCTTCAGCCCTTTTCTGTCTATAAAGCCAGCCTCCTCAGCTCAGCTCATCAGAGCACTCATTCTGTTTTATAGAACGAGGCATCGGCTGATTCTAGAATGCAAATATAAGCCAATTAAGATTTTAAACTAAATTTCTTGTAATTTTTGTCTTTTGACAACTATTATCGTCTGTTTGCCTTGTGAGGTTGGAAAGGATTGCACTTGTCCTGCTACAAGGACTCTTAGTCTCTGGCTGGATTACAGAAACATTTGCCTGCATTTCTCCTTTTATTTCCCAAAGTTTTTCAGCGTCTTACATGGTTCTGTAGAAGAGGCAGGATCGTGTCCTTAAAAGACCACTGGGCTGTGAGTCAGGTGGATTTTGGTCTTGATAATGCTACTTGGGCAGGTCACTGTTTCCTCATCCATCTGTAAGCCTCTTTCAACAAAGGGTAGCTGGTATTATCTATTATGCATGTTTAGCCTTTCCGGTAAGGTAATATATTTAGTAAAACTAAATTAGCATCTGTCAGCAACTCTCCAGGGTAGTAGGAGAAGGTGGCAGGTGCTTTGAGGAAGTTACAGATGAGAAGCTATGGGATTCTGAGAAGGGAGAGTAAGCTTCTTAATTTATACTTTAATTTCTAATAAGTAGAAATGTCAAGATGTACGGGGGTCAAATGAGAATGATTCTACCCCTCCACCCCACTAAAAAGTCTGGGAAAGTGAATTTTCCCCTCTGAGGCCTTCTTATTTCTCAGTTGGAAATAAAATGTATGTTGGCAGCTACATTCATTATTGCTTGCAGTGTAATCCGGCCCCTGTTATGGATTCCCAGACTTGGGCTCCTGGACTGACTTCTTCCATTGGCAAGAACATCATATTCACCATATTCTTCTCTTTCTCTCTCTCTCTCTTTTTTTTTTTTTTTTTTTTTGAGACAGTCTCGCTCTGTCACCCAGGCTGGAGTGCAGTGGCATGATCTTGGCTTACTGCAACCTGCAACCTCTGCCTCCCCGGCTCAAGCAACTCTTGTGCCTCAGCTTCCCAAGTAGTTACAGGCATGCACCACCATGACCGGCTAAATTTTTGTATTTTTTAGTAGAGATGGGGTTTCACCATGTTGGCCAGTCTGGTCTTGAACTCCTAATCTCAAATCTGCCCGCCTTGGCTGCTTCCCAAAGTGCCGGGATTGCAGGTGTGAGCCACTGTGCCTGGCCCTTTGTTTTTTGTTTGTTTGTTTTGGAGACAGGGTCTCACCCTGTTGTCCAGGCTGGAGTGCAGTGGCACAGTCACAGCTCACTGTAGCCTCGTCCTCTAGAGCTCAAGTGATCCTTTCACCTCAACCTCGCTAGTAGCTGGGACCACAGGCACACACAACCATGCCCAGCTAATTATATTTTCATTTTTTGTAGGAACGGGTAGGGTGTCTCTATGTAGCCCAGGCTGGCCTTGAACTCCTGGGCTCAAGGGATTTTCCCTCCTTGGCTTCCCAAAGTGCTGGAATTACAGACATAAACCGCCGCACCTGGCCTTCTTTCTGTTTTCAGAAACCTCCCTTCACTCACCAGAGTGTAAGGTCCCTATTTATCCCACTTAGGTTAATGCACTAGGTTAGAGTAAGCAGTGTTTCCTAGCAGTTATGGGCATTGGCTTTTATAGTCAGGGGATTTGAGCCCTGCTGTGATTTTGAATCAATGTCTGAGCCTCAGTTTCTTCATCTTCAAAACAAGGACAGTAATACTCCGGGCTGTTGTGATGATAGCGTGAGATCTTGCACTTAAAGAATCCAGCATGGCCGGGCATGGTGGCTCACACCTGTAATCCTAGCACTTTGGGAGGCCGAGGCAGGCAGATCATGAGGTCAGGAGTTCAAGACCAGCCTGACCAACATGATGAAACCCCGTCTCTACTAAAAATACAAAAATTACCCGGGCGTGGTGGTGCAGATTTGTAATCTCAGCTACTCAGGAGGCTGAGGCAGGAGAATCACTTGAACCCAGGAGGCGGAGGTTGCAGTGAGCTGAGATCGTGCCATTGCACTCCAGCCTGCATGACAGAGAGAGACTCTGACTCAAAAAATAAAAAACAAACAAATAAAAAAAGAATCCAGCGGTACCTGCTAGGACAAGTGCTCAAAAAAAAAAATGTTGGCTGCTCTTTTTAAAAATATACATAAATAAATATGGGGTCTTACTGTGTTGCCCAGGCTGGTCTCAAACTCCTGGCCTCAAGCCATCCTCCTGCCCCGGCCTTCCAAAGTGCTGGGATTACAGGCATGTGCCACCACACCCAGCTGGCTGCTCTTTTTTAGCACTGTCATCATGGTTATTACATTGTTAGTTCACAAAAGGCAGGGTGATCTTTTGTAGTCTTTTTCTTCTCTTTATTGCTTGGCAGATCTCTTTATTGCCAGCAAATGTTTGTTGAATGAATGAGTGAATCCACCCAGGAAGCTCTAGTAGCAGTGAATTTCACATTGCCCTGACTAATAGCAGCTCTGCGCCAGAAACCATATTCAGTCCCATTACCTTGTTGAATCCTCAAGTTTGATGACTTTGTCTAGCCTTCCAATTTGGCTCCTGAAGCATTGGTGTCATTGATTCACAGTCCAGAAGCTGGGAGTAATGTCTGCTGCAGATTTCTGTATTGTTTCCGTAATGAAGCTGACAGCAGCATAATATCTGTAGCCTGTGCTAAGATAGGAGTTGGGTGTCATGCTGACGTCAGGCAGTGTGTTCTCATCTCCCCAAGGATGAGCTGGCTTCCTTGATGCAGTTTCCTCATCTCATTAGTGCATTGCTTGACATTACACTTCTGAAACAGCAGGGCTCAATCAGAGTTTAGCACTGCAACTCTATCAGGGTGATAATGTCACAGGGCATCAGATTCCTTCTTTTGTCCCTCTGTGGCCACTTCCAGAGAAGTGTAGCAGCTGTAGGGGAAGGACAGACCAAGGAAGGTCTTTTTGCTTCTTCTGATCCACTCACTGTATTTGAGTTTTGGGTTAGAGAAGCCTTTAGAAACCTCTAATTTAGTACTTTTTAAATACTGTTCTGTGGGGGTTTTAGAATTCGTAGGACTCCCTCATCCTGCCAGGAGCTGTTTCTGGGGAGAATAACTACCTAAACAGGTAGAACTTGGGGCATCCTACCTCTGATTCAACCAAAGTGAGCCCTGTGACATCTCTGGAATACTGAAGAACAAATTTCTTTTTATTCCTCAGTAGAGACTCTGAAAGCCAGTCAGCAACATTGTTGGACTTTGAGCAAGCTATTTATGCATTTGCAGTGTTTATTCATTCATTCAGCACATTCTCCG
Organism: Homo sapiens; assembly: GCF_000001405.40. NCBI lineage: Eukaryota > Metazoa > Chordata > Mammalia > Primates > Hominidae > Homo > Homo sapiens. The sequence goes on from NC_000020.11 coordinate 2,211,901, forward strand.
ACACTTTACTAGGGGGCTGGGGATAGAGCAAGAAACAAAATAAAGATCCTGCCATCAAAGAGCTTACATTCTAGTAGGAGGAGACAGACAGTAAAATATGTGCCATGCAGGGCCTCTCCAAGGATGTAGAATGAACAGACGGCTGAAGGAAGTGAGGGCTGATAAATGGTGGAAGAATGTTCTAAGCAGAAGAAATAGCTGTGCAGAGTCTCTGAGGTAGGATGCCAGAGCAGCTGGAGAGGAGGGAATGATAGAGCCAGTGGAGGTAGACAAGAGGCTGAGGTCTAGATTACCAGGACCTCGGAACCATGGAAAGCACTTTAGATTTTACTCAGAAGGAGATGGGAGGACATTGGAGAGGTGAAAGCAGAGGAATGACAAGACTTGATTAATAGGAACATTCCGGCTACTGGGTAGAGAATAGAACTTAGGGAGTGAGAGTGGAAGCAAAGACCAAGGAGGCTTTTAGAAGGGTCCACGTGCGAGGTGACAATAGCTTGGACTGGCATAGTAAAGAAAGGTGAGAAGCACTTGGACTTGGGATGCATTCCGAAGGCAGACCTTACACATTCTGCTAATGAGTTCTATGTTGGGTGGGAGAGAAAGAGGAATCGACCGTGACCTCAAGGCTTGGGCCTGTGCACCTGGATGAAGGGCGCTGTTTACTGAGACATTTGTCACAGTCACAGTTTGCCAATTCAACTGCTTTTCACGATGGAGGAGGAACTGCTCTAGGGTGATGTCAGAAGCTCTGAGACCAGGAGGGTGTTTTAGCTGAGGCTTTCTCATAACAGTCACTTGCCCACAGTCACACAAGTTGGATCTAGAACTAGAGCAAATGATCCCTGGTGCTAAGGCTGCATAGTGCCTATTAGCATCCACAAAAATCTCATTTCTGTTTGGCTGCGCTTCAGATTCAGGCAGCTGGTGTATTTTGATGTCTTGGTGGTTCCATGCTGTGAGAAGAGTTTGTGTCATGAAAATTAGCAGCCTTCTCTTTTCTCCCAGGAGCACCATTGAAGGAGAATTAGACAAACTGGAGTCTACTGAGATGAGGCTGTTGGGAATGGCCCTGGTACCACATCCTGAGCAGGGATGGCCGATGGAATGGGGAGAAGACTCAGGTGGGGCTTGAGTGTGTCCTCTGATGACTGAAGAGCCTTGGGAGCAAGCATCCTTCCTGCTACTGTGTGTTTGCTGGTTCCAATGATACATAATTTGTGCTTTTCGTAATTAAAGTATTATCCTGTAGATCTTGATGGTGTTGACTACTTCCCCTTGGAGGCGTGTGACCTGGAGATGAGGTTAGCGTATCCCACCACCACGTTTCCCCAGACCAAAAACTGAAGCAGCCTAGGGGGTTTCAGAAGTTTTAAAACTGGGCCTCTTGGGTCTTGATCTATAAGGAGATGAGATAGTTCCTGTGTGGGCACAAACGAAGGTGGGGGCCTTGCGCCAGTGGAGGAGTCCGGGGGGAAGAGCCTAGAGGAGGCAGCTAGGAAGCTTGTGGCAGCTACAGAGGCTACATATGTGTTGGCTTAGGGCCAGAGGCCTGTCCTATGGAGACTTGTCTGTTCTGTCATTTAGGAATATGTGCAGCTGCAAGAAACAGAATACCACTTAAGGTGCCTTCAGAAAAGCAGGGCTTTATTTTTCTGTCATGACAAGAGATGTGAATTGGTCTTGGTTCAGTTGCTAAACCTTGCCAGCAAGAATTCAGGCCTCACATCTCCCCTCCCTTGGCAGGCTGGCTTTTGTTCTCCTGGCCACGAATTGCCTGCCTCGGCTCTGGGCATTAAGCCTTCATTCGGGACGGGAAGAAATGGGAGAGGGAGGAAGGGGCAATACCAGCTGGGTCTTTTTTTTTTTTTTTTTTTAACATTCTCGTTCTCTTTTAAGACTTTATTTATTTAAGTGGCTTTAGATTTTTTTTTCTTAGATTCACAACAAAATTGAGTGGAAGATACAGAGATTTCTCATACACCTCCTACCCACCCCTCCACACCCACCGTCTCTCCATTATCAACATCCCTGAATCAAGTGGTGTATCTGTTACAACTGATGGATCTGTATTGACACATCACAGTCACCCCAAGTTCACAGTTTACATTAGGGCTCACTCTTGGTGTTGTACATTCTGTGGGTTTGGATACTCCTGTGATGACATGCATTCGCTGTTATAGTCTCATAGTCTTATACAGAGTAGTTTCACTGCCCTAAAAATCCTCTTCAATACTTCACCTATTCATCACTCCCTTCCCCCAACCCCTGGCAACCACTGATCTTTTCACTGTCTCCATAGTTTTGCCTTTTCCAGAATGTCGTATAATGGGAATCATATAGTAGGCAGCCTTTTCTGATTGTTTTTTTCTTCATTTAGTAATATGCATATTGTAATATGCAATACATATCAAGCCATGTATTTCTATGGCTTAGTAACTCATTTCTTGTTTGTTTGTTTTTATTTTTTGAGATGAAGTCTCACTCTCGTTGCCCAGGCTGGAGTGCAATGGCACAATCTTGGCTCACTGCAACCTCTGCCTCCCGAGTTCAAGCAATTCTCCTGCCTCAGCCTCCAAGTAGCTGGGACTACAGGCACACACTGCCACATCCAGCTAATTTTTTTGTATTTTAGTAGAGACGGGATTTCACTATGTTGCCCAGGCTGGTTGTGAACTCCTGAGCTCAAGCAATCCGCCTGACTCAGACTCCCAAAGTGCTGGGATTACAGGCGTTAGCCACCGCACCTGGCCAATAACGCATTTCTTTTGAGCACTAAATAATATTCCATTGTCTAGATGTACCATAGTTTATTCAATTATCTACTGAAGGACATCTTAGTTGCTTCCACGTTTTGACAATTATGAATAAAGCTGATGTAAACATCTGTGTGCAGGTTTTTTTATGGACATAAGTTTTCAGTTCTTTCGGGTAAATACCAAGCAGTGAGATTGTAAGAGTGTGTTTAGTTTTGTTAGAAACTGCCAAACTGTGTTCCAAAATAACTGTACCACTTTGTATTCCCACCAGCAATGAATGGGAGTGTCTGTTGCTCCACATCCTCACCTGTGTTTGGTGTCATCAGTGTTCCTGATTTTACTCATTCTAATAGGTGTATTGTGTCAGTCTTTTTTAAATCAGGAAAGCCAAAACTTTCCCAGAATCCCATCCAAATCCCCACCCCAGCAGCCTTCCACTTGGCCAGAACTATGTCACTACGACCATCCCTAGCTGAAAGAGAGATGGGAAAATGAGTATTTAGTTTTGTAACCTCTCTGGGAGAGGGAGACAAGCGAGAAAGGGGGAAGAGCCCCTAGGGCAACACTGTCCAGTGGAAATAGAGCCACATACATAATTTTCAATGTCCTAGTAGCCACATTTTTTAAAAGGTAAAAAAAGAAACCTAGGTGAATCAATGTTTAAATATTTATTTTATCTAACCCAATATATCCAAAATCATTTCAGCATGTAATCAATATAAAAATTATTTAAGAGATATTTTACACTCTTTTTTAAAATAACGTTTTCAGGCCGGGTGCAGTGGCTCATGCCTGTAATTTCAGCACTTTGGGAGGCTGAAGGGGGCGGATCACCTGAGAAGTCAGGAGTTTGAGACCAGCCTGATCAACATGGTGAAACCGTGTCTCTACTAAAAATACAAAAATTAGCCGAGCATGGTGGCAGGCATCTGTAATCCCAGCTACTTGGGAGGCTGAGGCAGGAGAGTTGCTTGAACCCGGGAGGCAGAGGTTGTAGTGAGCTGAGGTTGTGCCATTGCACTCCAGGCTGGGCAACAGAGCAAGACTCCATCTCAAATAAATAAATAAAGCTTTCAAAATATGATGCATATTTTGCACATACAGCACATCTCAGTTTGGACCAGGTACATTTCGAGTGCTCAGTAGCCACATGTGACTAATGGCTGCCATATTAGACAGCACAGGGGTAGACGGCATGTTGGGTGAGCAAGCCCATTCTTGCCACGCCCCTTTTGCTGCTGCTAGTATTCTCTGTAATTATTTCCTTTTCATTCTCCCAACTGATTTTAGAAAATGCCATCCTGTCTTAGCCTGCTGAAGAGAAAGAAGAAAGGGGGTTGTGGGTTGTATTTGGGCTAAAGTAATAATTAGGGAGACAGGAGCATCCTGGGGCCAGGCAAAGTAAGAGCAGTGGAATTGAAACTTTCAGAGCCCCAGGGGACTGGTGAAGGATGGATGGGAGGAAAGGGACAGCAAGAGGTAGGCCAATTGCTGTTGTGAGGAAGAGTAAAATTCTTAAGTCAAAATCAAAATAAAGGCTGGGTGTGGTGGCTCATGCCTGTAATCCTAGCACTTTGGGAGGCACAGGTGGGAGGATCACTTGAGCCCAGGAGTTTGAATCCAGCCTGGGCAAAAAAGTGAGATCCCCATCTCTACAAAAAAGTAAAAATTAGCCGGGCATTGTAGCACACACTTGTAGTCTCAGCTACTCAGGAGGCTAAGGCTAGAGGATTGCTTGAGCCTAGGAGGTTGAGGCTGCAGTGAGCCATGATCAAGCCACTGCACTCTAGCCTGGACAACAGAGTGAGACCTTGTCTCAGAAAAGAAAAAACAACAACAACAAAAAGAAAACTGTGTTGTTCTCTGATTACAGAAGTGAAACTTTTATAAAATATGAGGAAAACAAAAGCACTGAATAAATCTCTTTCTAATGTTAGTGATAGTCACTGTTAATAGCATATTAATTGTATATTTTATTTTATTAATTTTGTTTATACTTGTATATGCATACATGTATATGTAACACCTGTTTTTTTTTTTTTACTTTAAAATATATTATGAACCTTTCCCCGTGTCATTAAGTCCTTTTTTTTTTTGGGGGGGACAGGGTCTCACTCTGTCACTCAGGCTGGAGTGTAGTGGGACAATTACAGCTCACTGCAGCCTTGACCTCCCAGGCTCAAGTGATTCTCCCACCTCAGCCTCCCAAATAGCTGGGTCTACAGGCATGTGCCACCATACACAGATAATTTTTGTATTTCTTGTAGAGATAGGGTTTCACCATGTTGCCCAGGCTGGTCTTGAACTCCTGGGCTCAAGAAATCCTGCCTTGGCCTCCCAAAGTGCTGGGATTACAGGCATGAGGCACTGTGCCCTGCCTTTAAGTATTCTTTTAAAATAGGATTTTTAATTAGGTGATTGGATGGGATTTCATCCTATGAGTATACTGTAATTTAATTCAACCAGTCCTCTTTTGTCGGACATTAAGGTTTAATCAAGATTTGTCTGTGATAGGCAATGTTGCTATAAAATCTGTAATCAATCTTAGTGCACATTTCTGATTTGCTGGTTGAGGGGGTATAAATATTTTAGGGCAATTTATGCATATTTTCATCTTCTTTCTTTCTTTTTTTTTTTTTTGAGATGGAGTCTCACTCTGTTGCCCAGTCAACAGAATGAGTGTAGTGGCGTGATCTCCACTCACTGCAACCTCCGCCTCCCAGGTTCAAGCAATTCTCCTGTCTAAGCCTCCTGAGTAGCTGAGACTACAGTTGTGTACCACCACACCCAGCTAATTTTTGTATTTTTAGTAGAGTCGGGGTTTCACCATGTTGGCCAAGCTTGTCTCAAACTCCTGACTTCAGGTGATCTGCCCACCTCGGCCTCCCAAAGTGCTGGGATTACAGGCATGAGCCACCATGCCCGGCCCATATTGTCATCTTCTTGAAACTGTACTAATTGGAACTACCTAACAACACTGTAGGAAACATTTTTCTCATTTTATAAGAAAAAACTTTCTAACAACCAAAGAAAGAATGGGAGGCAGCAAGCTTTCTGTCATGAGGCCTGTTGGAGTATGGGCTATAGCCATGGTGTCGATTCTTTTTCCCTCACTGACACTGAGCATTAGTTACAATGGCCCATAAAGGGGAAAGTTGCCTTCTCTTGCCCTTAGTTGGACATTACAGAGCTAGATTGTTTGGTGGAGGCAATAACTTAAGAAATAAATAACTGCATTGGGATCAGCATTGGGCTAATGACCTTTAAGGTTTCCTCCAGGACCTTAAGGACCTACGTATGATACTTATACCTATGAAGTTTCTGTCCTGTTTCTAACATAGCCTGTACTATGCTTGTCTGTGCTCTCAGCAGGTAGGGACATGGTGAGCTCCTCAAGGGATTTTCCCAAAGTACGAATCTCTTTGAGGTAGACAAGTTTCTCCCAGAGGATGAAAAGCATGTCGTAAAATGAGCATCATGTTGTTCAGCTCTTTTCTATCACTGCTGATCTTCCATCTAGTCATTTTATTAGTTGCTGTATTAGTCTGTTCTCGTATTGCTATAAAGAACTACCTGAGACTGGGTGATTTATGAAGAAGAGAGGTTTAGTTGACTCTCAGTTCCCAGGCTTGGCAGGAAGCATGACTGGGAGGCCTCAGGAAACTACAATAAGGGCAGAAGGCGAAGGGGAAGTAGGCACAATCTTCACGTGGTGGAGCAGGAGAGACTGAGAGAGCAAAGGGGGAAGTGCCATCAGATGTCATGAGAACTCACTCACTATCATGAGAACAGCAAGGGGGAAATCACCCCATGATTCAGTCACCTCCCACCAGCCCCCTCCTCAATTAGACATGAGATTTGGTGGGGGGGACACAAATCCAAACCACATCAGTTGCTTAGAGGGGGATGTTGGAGTCCCCAACTGTAATGTGGGTTTATCTATTTCTCCTTTCAACTCTTATCATTTTTTGCTTTTGCTTTTGCTGTTGTTCGGTGCATGCACATTTAGAATTGTTATGTCTTTCTGGTAAATTGATTCTTTTATCATTATGTAATGTTCCTCTTTGTCTCTAGTAAATTTCTTTGCTTTGAATCTACCTTATCAGATATAAATGTAGCTACTCCTGATTTTTTAAAATTAATATGATATTCTTTTACTTTCATCCTACCTATGTTATTGAATTTCAAATGAGTCTCTTATAAGCAGCATGTATTTGGATCTTTTTTAAATTCACTCTGCCAGTTTCTGTCTTTTGATTGTTGTATCTAGACAAGTTACACTTAAGATAATTACTGATATTAGCTAATATTACTGATATTGCTAATTGCTGATAAATTACTGATATTACTAATTACCTCTTAGGTGTGCAATTTTATTGTTTTCTGTTTTTTCCCTCTAGTTCTTATTCCTCTGTTTCTCTCTCTTGTCTTTCTTTGGGTTTCTTGAACATCTTTTAGAAATTCATCTTGATTTATTTACAAGACTTTCAAGTGTATCTCTTTGTATAATTCTTTTAAAGGTTGCTGTCAGTATTACACTATACATATGTGACTTAACCATTTTGAGTGAAGTGTGGAAATCTTACTTTGATTTAGGTCTATTTACCTTCCATGATTTTAAATATAATTTGCATGAGTATCAGATAGGGTTTTATTTTTTGCTAGAATAGGTGAATATGACTTGTAAAATTCATGATGAGAATAGTCTATTGTATGTACACATATTTCTAATTGTTTCCACTGCACTTTCTTCCTTCTTGATGCTCCAAGATTCCTTTTTTTATAATTTCCTTTTTATTTAAAGAACTTTCTTTAGCCAATCTTTAAGGATTTAACTGCTAGTGTCAAATTCTTTTAGCTTTCCTTTGTCTGAGAATGGTTTTATTTCCCCTTTATTCATGAAGGATAATTTTGCCAGATATAGAATTCATGACTGACAGTTCTTTTCTTTCAGCACTTGAACAATGTTGTGCCACTTCCAGCTGGCCTCCATGGTTTCAGATGAGAAATCTGCTGTCATTCATATTGGGTTCCCCTATAAGTGGTGCATAGTTCTTCCCTGGCTGCTTTTAGCATGTTTTGTTTGTCTCCAGTCGTCAGAAGTTCAATTATCATGTGTTGTGGTATGGATTTCTTTGGGTTTCTCTTTGGGGTTTGCTCAGCTTTTGAATCTGTAGATTTGTGTCTGCCAAATTTGGAAAGTTTTCATCCATTATTTATTCAAATACTATTTTAGGCCCTTTATTCTCCTCTCCTTCTGGCACTTCAGTGATACAAATGTTGGCTTTTTTGTTATAGTCTTACAAGCCTTGGAAGCTCCGTTCATTCTTTTTTCAGTCCATTTTCTGTATTCTCACATTGGTTAAATTCGTTGGTCTGTCCTAAAGTTCACTGATTCTATTCTGTCATCTCCCCTCTAATATTGAGATTATCTGTTGAGATTTCTGTTTCTGTTACTATATTTTTAGTTCTGTAATTTTCATTGGTTCTTTTTTATAACTTCTATTTATTGCTGAGATTTTCTATTTTTTGTTTTAAGAGAATTGGTAATTGATTTTTAAAACATTTTTATGACAACTGCTTTAAAGTCCTCTCAGATAATTCTGACATTTAATTCACCTTGGTTGGGATCAGTTGATTGGTTGTTCTTTCTCATCCAAGTTGTGATTTTTCTGGTTCTTGGTATAACAGATGATTTTTAAAATTGTATCTCAGACATTTTGTCTGTTAGGATATTCAGGGTCCCATTTAAATATTTTATTTTAGTAGGCACTCACTGTGTTTACATTTAGCACACAGGTCCTGGCCACTTTCGTGGACTGTGGTTTACATGACAGTTTCATTTTCAGAGGCTTTACAATGTTATTTGGGTCTGTTTGGTGTATTTGGCACTGCTGGGGCTCTCACAGGTCTTTGCTGGTGCTGCTTAAGGGGGCAGAAGGACTTTCCCCGGACCAGGGCCACTAGATTTCTCTCCACTGATGAGTGGAGTCTCAGGTCTGTGGAGACAAAGAGGCTTCTTAGGCCATGCCCTTTTGGCAGAATCAATTTTTCTTTTTTCTTTTTCTTTTTTTTTTTTTGAGATGGAGTCTCACTCTATTGCCCAGGCTGGAGTACAGTGGCACGAACTTGGCTCACTGCAACCTCCACCTCCCGGGTTCAAGTGATTCTCCTGCCTCAGCCTCCCAAGTATCTGGGACTACAGGCGCCCACCACCACGCCTGGCTAATTTTTGTATTTTTAGTAGAGACAGGGTTTCACCATATTGGCCAGGCTGGTCTTGAACTCCTGACCTTGTGATCTGCCTGCCTTGGCCTCCCAAAGTGCTGGGATTACAGGCATGAGCCACTGCACCCGGCCGGCAGAATTTCTTTTATTGGTGCCACGGGCTACCTCCTATGTCCCTGGGTTGGGGGAATGGAGTTTCAGGCCTATGAGGATAGAGAGCCTTCCTGGACTGGGCTGGGCTGGGCTGCTTGTTATGGCTGAGTTCCTCCCACCAGTGCCACCCCACTACCCTAGTATCTCTTTGTGAGGTATGGAAGTCTCAGGCCCAGCAGGGAAGAAGAGCACTTCCCTTGGCTGCCTTTTTTCAGTTTTTTTGAAGCAGAACTCCCTCTCTATACCTTGTGTGAGTACTGCCAGGCTCACCTGGTGTTGTTGGAAGGGCTCTTGTTAAATCTGAGGGAGGAATGAGCCCACTGAGCTGCTTTCTGTTGCTAGGTTGGGGATCAGTAATGCTGGGCCCACGCTGCCTTCTGTTTGGTGGGAGGACAAAACACAAGAAATCTTCAGTTACTTTTATAACACTGCCCTGGCCTCCTCCCCCTTCCTTGCTTCTCTGGCCCCTTGTACAGTAATTGCTTGTTGAGTGACCCTCATGGTTGACTTGATGTTGTGCCTGGCACTTTGTCTGTACCTGAAGCACTCTAAAATTGTACCATTACAATGACTTGGGGGAGCCAAGCCCTACTTGTCTTTTCAGAACACATATCTTATGCTTGTGTTGTGTTGCATTCAGTCAAAAGCCTGTATTTGATGGCTAGGCAGGTCTCACTTAAAAGAATAACAAGAAAGCAGAAAAGAAAAAAAAAAAAGAATTGAAAGCTCTTCTTCATTGTTCCATAGGTTCAGAAAAGCACAAAAACTCTGGGCAGCTCTCTAGTGGGATTTTCTTTTCCTCCCTAGTGTGAATATTCTTAAGAGCCAGGAGGCTTAACAAACTCTGGGTTCTTATGGGAGCAAATATGGGTATATCAGACAACATTTTCACAATTCCCAGCCATCTTTTTTTTTTTTTTACATATTTTTATCTCAAGTAAAAGGTCTTGTTGTCCATTATCAATACAGAGCTTCCTTCCTTTAAAATATTCATCTCTAAGGGTAGGCTTTTGGTTTTGATTTTGTTAAGGAAAGGGCTGTGGCATGCCCTCTGCCCACATGACCTTCCTCATCTGCCTGAGACGTCATCCTTCAGGTCCAGCCAACATTTTCCTCCTCCTTTGAAGCCTTCCCTAACTGCTCCTGCCCAGCGTCCTCACCCTCCTCTGAAGTCCTAACTGCTCTATCTGAACCATGTAATTTTATACTGTTTTGCTATCTCTCCTGCAAGGGCATTTGAACTCTTTTTTTCCCTTTTTTTTTTTTTTTTTTTGAGACAAGGTCTTGCTCTGTCACCCAGACTAGAGTGCAGTAGCACAATCATGGCTCACTGCAGCCTTGACCTCCTGGGCTCAAGCGACCTTCCTGCCTCAGCCTCCTGTGTAGCTGAGATTACAGGCATATGCCACCACTGCCTATATAATTTTTTTTTTTCATAGATATGAGGATCTCACTTTGTTGCCCAGGCTTGTCTCTCATTCCTAGGCTCAAGCAATCTTCTCGAAGTGCTGGGATCACAGGCGTGAGCCACCACACCCAACCTCATTTAACCCTTGCTTAGTGTTTTAGTTAATTCCATTTAGAATAAAACCCAAAATCTTTTCATGCTTTACAAGGACCTTTATAATCCTGCTACCTTCCAAACTCCCTACTCCTCCCTTCCTCCCTCCCTTGGCCTCAGCCACACTGCCCGTTCCGGTCCTTCAGATGCCAAACACACTTCTGAATCCCTAGTAGCTAGAACACTCAATGAATGTCTATTGAATTAATTAATTAATTTAAATAAAGTTTATTATCTCGCCATAAAAAATGAAGTCTGTGCTTATTTTAGAATTTCGGGAAATATAAAAATGTAGCTTTAAAAAGCCCTATAGGTTGGGTGTGGGGGCTTACGCCTGTAATCCCATCACTTTGGGAGGCCAAGGCAGGTGGATCACCTGAGGTCAGGAGTTTGAGACCAGCCTGGCCAACATAGTGAAACCCTGTCTCTACTAAAAACACAAAAATTAGCTGGGTGTGGTGGTACACGCCTGTAATCCCAGCTACTTAGGAGGCTGAGACAGGATAATCGTTTGAACCTGGGAAGCAGAGAGGCTGCAGTGAGCCAAGATTATGCCATTGCACTCCAGCGGGGGCAACAAAGCAAGACTTCATCTCAAAAAAAATAAAAAGTAAAAAGCCCTATATAATTCCACATTTGAGAGGCAAAACATAATTTATACCTTTTAAGAAATATTTCTTTCCAGTCGTTTTATTATTTATGGCATTTTGGTTGGTTTGTTTTAATATGGTGTGTTCACAATGTATTTTATGCAGAATTTGACCTTTTTATGTGTGTATGCCTTGTTTTTCCTGTTATGTTTATTTATTTATACTGCTCGTTATTCAAAAATAATTTGAGGCCCTATTGTCAGAGGCATTTGAACCAGAATGACTCCATCTTGAATCGGGGCTGGGTAAAATAAGGTTGAGCCCTATTGAGCCGCATTCCCAGGAAGTTAGGCATTCTAAATCACGGAATGAGATAGGAGGTTGGCACAAGATACAGGTGACAAAGACCTTGCTGATACAACAAGTTGCAGTAAAAAAGCCAGCCAAAACCCACTGAAACCAAGATGGCCACAAAAGTGACCTCCAGTCATTCTTATTCTCCGTTCTATGCTAATTATAATGCATTAGCATGCTAAAAGACACGCCCACCTGCACCATGATAGTTTACAAATGCTATGGCAACATCAGGAAGTTATCCTATATGGTCTAAAAAGGGGGAGGAGCCCTCAGTTCTGGGAATTGCCCACCCCTTTCCTGGAAAATTCATGAATAATCCACCCTTTGTTTTGCATATGATCCATAAATAACTATAAGCAGTCGAGCAGCCCACGCTGCTGCCCTGCGTATGGAGTAGCCATTGTTTATTCCTTCACTTTCTTAATAAACTTGCCTTCACTTTACTCTATGGACTGGCCCCGAATTCTCTCTTGCACGAGGTCCAAGAACCCTCTCTTGGGGTCTGGATCAAGACTGCTTTCTGGTAACACTATGAGATATAGAAGTACATACAGTATTTCTTTCTGTTGCCTGCAGCATGCAATCCTGTGCTTTGTTCCTACCAAGTGTTTATGGATTGAACAGGGAATTGAGTCTGGGGAAGCTTGTTTTCCAGTGGAGGGCAGGTGGATGTGTGATTTTGTCTGACTTTTGGAAGTAGCCAGGACCTCCCACTGTTACCATGGTGTATCTTTGGAACTGAGTTCTGTCTCTGGTCATTTATTTGTTTCCATCTGTCTTTGTCTCTCCTTTCTGGAGGGGAACATGTCCGAAGGCCTGGTCTACAGTGATCTCCCTCTAAACGAGAACAGACTCATTCCATCCTGCAGATGTGTATTACTCAAAGTGCTGTTTGCACGCAAAGAATGCTAAGTCCTAGCCCAGCAACTGGAACGTATCAACTCCTTCTCTCCCATCCCCTAGAGGCATGGCCCAAATTGCTGTAACCCTTCACCCTTCCAAGCTCTAGTACCCTCTGGCTTGGAGGTTGCAAAAAGGATGGCATGCATAGGTTTCTTATAAGCCAGGGCCCTAAAATTGTGCTTGTGGTGACTGGTGTAAGTGATTATACCACATTTCCTCCTGCCACAGGGTCATTATACAAGTTGTTCCCTTCACTAATACATTTCAAGCTCTCACACACATACACATACCTACTCCCCCATCAGATCTCAGCTCTGATGTGGCATCTTCAGGGAAATGTTCCCCAAACCCTGCATTTCATCATGTGACCTATTAAATAGTCTCAAAGGAAAGCACTGTATATCCTTCTTCCTTGCACTCATCACAGTTTATAAGTATACATTGTTGTATGTCTTGTTCTCCCATAAGACTGTAAGCTCAATGACAGGAGGGACTATATCTACTTTTTTTTTTTTTTTTTTTTGAGACAGAGTCTCGCTGTCAGGCTGGAGTGCAGTAGTATGATCTCGGCTCACTGCAACCTCTGCCTCCTGGGTTCAAGCGATTCCCCTGCCTTTCTCAGCCTCAGTCCCTCAGTAGCTGGGACTACAGGTGTAAGCTACCATACCCGGCTAATTTTTGCGTTTTTATTACAGATGGGGTTTCACCATGTCGTCCAGGCTGGTCTTGAACTCCTGACCTCAGGTGATCCACTCGCCTCAACCTCTCAAAGTGCTGGGATTACAGGCGTCAGCCATTGCACCCGACCATACCTAGTTTTGTGCACAGTGTCTCCAGTGCTTATCCCAATGACTAGAGCGTGGCAGCGCTCAGTTAACGTTTTTTGAATAAATGAATGAAGAATGGACATTTGGATTGAGGCAGTGAAGAGTACTAGTTAAGAGAGTGAGATTTGGAGCCAGATATTCGGAGTGCAAACCCAGACGCATGACCTTGGATAGTATCATTACCTCTCTCCACCACTGGTTCTCTGCCTATAACATGGAAATAACAATACCGCCTATTTCATAGCGCTATTGTGAAGATCAAGTGAGGGACTCTGTGTAAAGAGCTTCAATCAAAGCCACAGTAAGTCCTCAACATAGATTAACTATTATTTTCTACTCTTTTGGCCAACAGAAATATTACTGTAGTAAATATTATTTTACATATTTTGATCCACTTTTTATGAGTGTTCAGTAGATGAAATTCCTGTAAGTTGAATTGTCGCATCAGAAGGTTAATTTATTTGGAATTAATTTTTGTGTCTAGAGTGAGGGAGAGTTCATATTTAACTCTAATTACAGAAAAAAATATATTTAAAAAAATAGAGTGAGAGAGAGGTTTAATTTTTCACTTTTCCCAATGGAGAGGTATGGGAGGCCAAGACCTCTGTTAGTTCATTAAATATTTATTTTTATTTATTTATCTTTTAAAGACAGGGTCTCACTATGGTTCTCACACTAGTCTTGAACTCCTGGGCTCAAGCAATCCTCCCTCGTCAGCCTCCCAAAGTACTGGGATTACAGGTGTAAGCCACCACACCTGGGCACCCCTGTTAGTTTCTGAGTCTGCAGAATTAAGACACTTAACATGTAGTTAGTGGTGGCAAGCACTTACTTAGCTCCTTAAAGGGAAGATGTCACAGCTCCCTAAGGCCCACATATTGCTCATTCTCACCGAGATGGCAGAGCTTAGACAGCCAGGACTGAATTAGAGGAGTCTGCTGTATCTCCCCTGCTTTCAAACCCAGGATTATGGGGAGTCATATCATTAATACAATAGTTTCCAGCTCTGCCTCACATGACAGTGTCACTATTCCATAACCGCCCTGTGATCTACACTTGATTTCTAGATGTCTTGATGTCTGGATCCTTGTTAACAGATTTTTACCTGTGCTATAAGCCTAGAGCTTTTCAATTTAATATAAGGGCTTTCCATGCAATAAAGATTTCCAGCTTGGGGCCTCTTCAGTAGCAGGCCAGGCCATGGCCTCTTATGCTAGCTAGTTACCCCAATACCATTTACAAATTTCTCATAAATACAAGGGCCTATTTCTGGTCTCTATTCTGTTCCTCTAATTCTGTAGAAGATCTTTCTTCATTTCATTCTCACTGTTTTTGTTTTCCAAAAAACCCTTGGCTATAGTCTCATTCAAGAAAACTGGAGAATTAATTTGTCCAAATTGTGCCCTCAACCCCTGCAAACATGCTTGTCTACATGCGTGTGCATGCATGCCCACACACGCTCACACACACAACACTCTCGCACACTCATTTTTCCACTAGAATTTTCACTGGAATTACATTGAACCTTTGGGATAGTTTGGAGAAGATTGATTTCTTTTCAGTACCAAATTTCCCATAGAACATGGAATATCGTTCCTTTTATTCAGGCCTTCTGTTTTATGTCCTTCAGTAAAATTTTATAGTTCCCGTATGTAGGTCTCATGCATTTGGTATTCTTTGTTGCCATTGTCAGTAGGGCCTTATTTATTATATTTTTTCAGTTGGTTATTACTGAATATAGGAACACCATTTTTTACTTTTGCTACTTACTCATAGGAAGAGGTGAACTGAGAACATTTGAGACAGATGGCTAAGCTGATTTTAGCTGCCATGTTACAGGCAGAGTGCTAAATCAGATCCTATAAACAACTCCTAGGCAGGGATTAGAATGACCTATGGGTTGTTCACAGGGCGTGAAGTAGGCACAATGGGCCAATAACACCTTTACCTGGTGTGATTGCTAAATAGCACCGGATACAGATTTAGCTTTTAACTTATAAATATTATTCCTGAACAATCCAGATTGGTTTGCAGAATAATTAATTTATAGCAGCCTAGGCAAGGTGGTATTGAAGCATCTTTTTAGATGATCCACTTTTATCTGTTTTAGAAGGTTTGGATTTTCTTAGAGTGCCTTCCTTACAGCACGTATGACCAGTTTCATGCTGCTACTAGCCTAGGGCTTGAAGTTATACAAACTGTCTTTTGATCTTTGGTCTTTGTCATCAAGATAAGATCTTGTACTGCTTATTTATTTATTTATTTATTTATTTTGAGGTGGAATCTCGCTCTGTCACCCAGGCTGGAATGCAGTGGTGTGATCTTGGCTCACTGCAACCTCTGCCTCCCAGGTTCAAGCAATTCTCCTGCCTCAGCTTCCCAAGGAGCTGGGATTACAGGTATGCGCCACCATGCCTGGCTAATTTTTGTATTTTTAGTAGAGACGAGGTTTTGCCATGTTGGCCAGGCTGGTCTTGAACTCCTGACCTCAAGTGATCTGCCTGCCTTGGCCTCCCAAAGTGCTGGGATTACAGGGGTGAGCCACCATACCTGGCCTTTTTATTTTTAATATAACCATTTTCTAGCGATATAATTCACATGCCATACAACTCACCTAATGAAAGCATACAATTCCATGGTTTTTAGTGCAGTCACAGAATTGAACACCCATCACCACAGTTGAGTTCAGGACATTTTCCTTGCCCTAAAGAGAAACTCTGTACTGATGAGTAGTCAGTCCCATTTCCCCCAATCCTCCTCAGCTGCCGGTAACCACAAATCCACTTTCTGTCTCTGTGGATTTGCCTATTCTGTCCATTTCCTATAAAAGGAACAATACACTATGTGGTCTTTTGTGTCTGGCTCTTTTCACTTCTCAAAATGTTTTCAAAGTTCATTTGTGTTGTAGCATGTATCACTACTTCATTCCTTTTTATTGCTGAATACTATTCTGCTAGACAGATACATTACATTTGACTTATTTATTCATCAGTTGATGGACATCTGAGTTATTTATACTTTTTGACTATTATGAATAATGCTACTATGAATATGCATATACAAGGTTTTCTGTGGACATATGCGGACATTTCTCTTGGGTATATACCTAGGAGTGAGATTGCTGAAACATATGGTAACTCTATGTTTAAACTTTTGAGGAACTGCCAAACTGTTTTCCAAATCAACTGCACCATTTTACATTCCCACCAGCATTGCAGGAAGGCTCTGATTTCTCCACAACCTTGCCAATCCTTGTTATTACTTGTCTTTTTGGTGATTGCTGTTCTAGTGGGTGGGAAGTGATACCTCTTTGTGGTTTTGATTTGTATTTTCCTGATGGCTAAAACTTACTGTTTCTTGACTCTTTTTTTTTTTTGA
Source organism: Homo sapiens (assembly GCF_000001405.40). Taxonomy (NCBI): domain Eukaryota; kingdom Metazoa; phylum Chordata; class Mammalia; order Primates; family Hominidae; genus Homo; species Homo sapiens. The sequence goes on from NC_000020.11 coordinate 2,228,657, forward strand.
CAGAGTCTCACTCTGTTGCCCAGGCTGGAGTGCAGTGGTACAATCTCGGCTCACTGCAACCTCCATCTCCCAGGTTCAAGTGATTCTCCTGCCTCAACCTCCCGAGTAGCTGGGATTACAGGCGCCCACCACCATGTCCAGCTAATTTTTGTATTTTTAGTAGAGACGGGGTTTTACCATGTTGGCCAGGCTGGTCTTAAACTCCTGACCTCAGGTGATCCACCCGCCTCAGCCTCCCAAAGTGCTGGGATTAAAGGCATGAGCCACCACACCCGGCCGACTCTAACATTTAAGAGCTCTCTTTTGCCTTTCCTTGGAGCTATCCTGGCTAGATTCGTGATAGGGGTTTCACACTTATTTTTTCTCTGTAGATTCCAGAAACCCACACATGTAGACAACGTGCCATATGATTATTGTTATTCTTGCCGAAGGGGTGAGGCCTAAACAGAATCTCAGGAGGAAAAAAGAATCTAGAATGTGTGCAGCATATGTCCAAAAAAGAAAATTGGTTGTTTAGATATCTCAATCAATCATACACCCTTGTCACAGGCATTACAAAACTCAAACTAAATCAGGAAACAATTTTTTTGACTGGAAGCCCTCATTTATCACTAACTCTTAGTGATTCACTTGAAGAAAAATTAAGGTGTCCTATTTGACATGAAAATGCTGCCTGTAGTCTTGTTAAGTTCTCTATGAGCATATGCTGATTGACTTAAGATGGCAGTGTTAAGAATGGATGGGTAAGAAGGAAGTATAGTGTGTACTTATAATAAAGATTGTGGCCAGACGCGGTGGATCATGCCTGTAATTCCAGCACTTTGGGACCCTGAGATGGGTGGATCACTTGAGGTCAGGAGTTCGAGACCAGCCTGGCCAACATGGTGAAACCCATCTCTATTAAAAATATAAAAATTAGCTGGGCGTGGTGGCAGGTGCCTGTAATCCCATCTACTTGGGAGGTTGAGGCAGGAAAATTGCTTGAACCCGGGAGGTAGAGGTTGCAGTGAGCTGAGATAGCACTGCTGCACTCCAGCTTGGGCAACAGAGCAAGACTCTGTCTCAAAAAAAAAAAATCTCTAAGCTAAGGGTACAAGTGCCAACAGAGCTCAGGTTACTCAGAGAATTATCTATAAGGAGATAAGAAAAGAGAAAATACATAGCAAGTTATCAAAGATAAGAGAAAGAAATGGAAGAAAAAGCCAATGCTTTTGTCAATGTGAGGGCATCTAAAACCTGAGCTTCAGAGATTAAAGAGAACTGGAGGCTCAGAAAGGCTTAGCTGTGGCAAGTGGTATAATAAACTGGCTCCCCTGTATTCAGTGCTTGCTGTATGTAAGGCATGAGGCCAAGTGTGGCACATAAATTCTTGCATTTATTCCTCATAGCCCCCTATTTCATAGGTGAGGAAAACAAAGTTCAGAGACATTATGTGGCTTTCCGAAGTCCACAGGTGGTATTTGAAACCGAGTCTTTCTGGATTTTAATGACTCAGAACTAAGGGTGTTTCTGCAAAGTAATGGAATATAGCAGGACTATTCTAGTCTGAGTATAAATAGAATAAGAAGAAAGTAGAGATTTCTTAGTAAACTGCCAAGAGAAAGACCCAGATTACAGGCAACGTTAGACTCAGATAACTATATGAGAGAATTAAGACTAAGGGTTCTCTAAGAAAAGGCTAGGACTTACAAAGACTTAGATGGTCTCTATAATTATATGGGAAAACCAATGACCGACTTATCCATGCACGCATGAAACTGTGTGTGAGTAGCATTCTCGCCGTACCCTTCATAGCCCAATAAGCTCTCCCATCTGGAGCTGAGTAGGGCTGTTACTTTCAAGACTGGCGTTGTTATATTTTCCTGGGAGGAGTGAGGCATTGTCAGAGAGACTAAAAAGGAAAAGATGACACGACTCCTGTCAAAGCTCTAGGAAGGAGGTCAGTCCCTTGGGTGACGGAGGTGGACAATGAAAGGCTTGCGAGGCCTTGTCTTTTACTCCAGCTGGTGATATGGCCTTACAAGTTGTGGCTGCAACGAACATTCTGACTTATAACACAAAAAGGCCATCCAACCCCCACGTTTCTCAAAGAAGCATCACCACTAAGTGATGCTTTGGCAGTTTTCAGAGTAGAGCCAGCATAAGGAACCATTGCTTGTCCTAGTAGCTCCTCCCTGAGACACGCCTTTATGACTGAGACCTCCTGGAGCCAGGGCCTGGCTAGGAGAATGAGCAGTTTCCTGAACTGGACAGCTTGGGGATTATAAAGATCAAAAGTCCTGGGTGCATCACCCTTCATTCATCACATGTTAATAGGGGCTAGTTTGGACTCTGGCCAGGGGTGGAAAATTCTTCCTGCACCTCCTTTTACAGGCTTTGTGTCAATCAGCCTTTGTTTCCTCGGTTGGGATTTGTCTCAGGAGAATCCCAAACCATTCCAATATGGAACAATCACAAAGGCATGGACTGTCAGAATTAATAGGCACTTAGAGGACCATGCAGTCATCACCAAGCATTTTGCCAAAGCTTGGAAGTGAGCAGCTTGGTTTGAGGCATGCTACAGAGTCAGTAAGGCCCATGTTATGGGACAGGCATAGCCGCAGGAGCACCCCTTGCTTGCACCACACCTATTTTTTTTGAACCAGCGTCTCAGTCTGTCACCTAGGCTGGACTGCAGTGGCACAATCTCGGTTCACTGCAACCTCCACCCAGGTTCAAGTGATTCTCATGCCTCAGCTTCCTGAATAGCTAGGATTAGAGCATGCGTCACCAGGCCTGGCTAATTTTCGTATTTTTAGTAGAGACAGGGTTTCACCATGTTGGCCATGCTGGTCTCGAACTCCTGACCTCAAGTGATCTGCCTGCCTTGGCCTCCCAAAGTGCTGGGATTACAGACGTGAGCCACTGTGCCACACCTTTTTTTATGAAAAACTCTGGGCTTTTAAAAAATGAACATTTAAGTTATATCTTCATAAGGAATTGTGACAGAGAGACATTGGTGGACGGTGAGGAGAACAGAGAGACTGTGCAGATTTAGATTTTGAGTGTATCTCCCACCTCAGCCCCACCTGAAGGAAGACGTGTTGAGGGTCTCTAAGACTACCCACAGGTTTGGTAATTTGCTAGAAGGAATTACAGGGTGTAGCATATAGTTATACTTGTGGCTAAGATTTATTACAGGGAAAGGGTACAAAGCGAAATCAATGAAGGAGAAAGCTATGTGGGGGAGTCCAGAGAAAACCAGGCGCTTCCATGGTCCTCTCCCAGTACAGTCACAAAGGATGTGCCGAATTCCTCCAGCAACAAATTATGACAACACACAGCAAATGTTGTCTACCAGGCTGGGCACAGTGGCTCACACCTGTAATCCCAGCACTTCGGGAGGCCAAGGCGGGCAGATCACCTGAGGTCAGGAGTTCAAGATCAGCCTGGCCAACATGGCGAAACCATCTCTACTAAAAATACAAAAATTAGCTGGGCATTGTGGCACATGCCTGTAATCCCAGCTCCTTGGGAAGCTGAGGCAGGAGAATCGCTTGAACCCAGGAGGCAGAGGCTGCAGCGAGCCAAGATGGCACCACTGCACTCCAGCCTGGGCGACAGAGCAAGACTCCGTCTCAAGAAAAAAAAAAATGTTGTCTACCAGAGAAACTCATCAGACTCAGTGCCCAAGGTTTCTACACGGGGGTTGGTCACATAGACACCCTCTGCCTAGCATGTACAAACACTCCAGACTTCCAGAAGGAAAACTGGTATTCAGTATAAGTATAAAGCATGTTGTTTGCACAAATATGACCTAGGCCTAGTGAGCCACTCTTATCATTTAGTTTCATATCGGTATAGGGAACTCTTTACCAGGCAAGTTCACAGAAGTCAGCCAAGATCCAGCCTTTCGAGGCAGGCCTTTCTCAGGATAGCAATCTCAGGCCCTCTATGTGGATGCTTTACTACACAGAAAGGTAATCTCATTTCATTCTTCATTGTTAGAACTTAGTAAATTGCCATCAATAAGGTAAATGGAATTGTTTACGATCAAAAACCTTACACTCACTTTTCTAATAGGTCACCTCTATCTGAATGTCCTAAGATACTTCAAACCTAGCATGTCCAACACTGAACTCATTATCCTCCCCACATTCTGGCTGTTTCTTTTGCACACATGTTCCTAGTGAACAGCTCCCCCGTCTCTCCTATTGCCGAATTTATTCTTAACGTCTACCTCTGTTATACCCCCCGCAACTTAACGAGTTGCCGAGTCCTAGAGTTTTTACTGCTTAAATATCTCTCGGTTTTCTTCCTTAGCCCTACTGCCACTTCCTTGGTTCAATTTTGTCATCTTGCTGTAGGACAGTGGCTTTGTAATAGGCCTTTCTCTTTTTTTTTTTTTTTTTTTGGAGAGGAGTTTTGTTCTTGTTGCCCAGGCTGGAGTGCAATGGTGCGATTACGGCTCACTGCAACCTCTGCCTGCAGGGTTCAAGAGATTCTCCTGCCTCAGCCTACCAAGTAGCTGGGATTACAGGTACCTGCCACCACGCCCGGCTAATTTTTTGTATTTTTAATAGAGACGGGTTTTCACCATGTCACCCAGGCTGGTCTCGAACCTCTGACCTCAGGTGATCCGCCTGCCTCGGCCTCCCAAAGTGCTGGGATTACAGATGTGAGCTAACTTGCCCTGCCAGTAATGGGTCTTTCTCTATATAATTGGTCTCTGTATCTGCAAGTTCCACACCACACCCACAGATTCAACCAATTTTGGATCAAAAATCTTTGAAAAATAAAACACATTCAAAAATAACAATATATCTATGTTGGGTTAAGATAAAAAATTATTTTTAATATAAAAGTATTTTTTAAAAAAGAAAATTAAATAACAATACAATTAAAAATTATACAAATTTTAAAAATATAGTATAGCAACTATTTACATAGTTTACATTGTATTAAGAATTATATGTGAACTAGAGATGATTTAAAATGCAGGAGAGGCTGTGTGTAGATTGTATGCAAATCCCATGCCATTTTATACAAGGGACTTGAGCATCCATGGATTTTGATACCCATAGGGGTCCTGGAACCAATTCCTCCCTTCACCCGCTCTCTGCACATACCAAGGGACAACTAGAATCACTCTTTTTTCCCCACTCATCATCTATGCTGTAAAGCTAGCAGTTTTTTTCTCAGTTTTCCTTTTTCTTAAAAACTACTTTTTAACTTTCTGAGATTCACTAAACTATTTATTTATTTTTTTTAGACGGAGTTTCACTCTTGCTGCCCAGGCTAGAGTGCAATGGCGTGATCTCAGCTCACTGCAACCTCTGCCACCTGGGTTCAAGCGATTCTCCTGCCTCAGCCTCCCGAGTAGCTGGGATTACAGGTGCGTGGCACCACGCTCGGCTAATTTTCGTATTATTATTATTATTTTTTTTAGTAGAGATGGGATTTCACCACGTTGGCCAGGCTGGCCTTGAACTCCTGATCTCAGGTGATCTGCCTGCCTCGGCCTCCCAAAGTGCTGGGATTACAGGCGTGAGCCACTGCGCCCGGCCAAACTGTTTCTTTTATTTAAAAAGTAATAAATGCACATGGTAGAAATCCAAACAGTACTGAAAGATATGCAATAAAAAGTAAGTTCTCAGCTGGGAGTGGTGGCTCACGCCTGTAATCACAGCACTTCGGGGGGCTAAGGGGGGCGGATCACCTGACATCAGGAGTTTGAGACTAGCCTGGTCAACATGACAAAACTCCATCTCTACTAAAAATACAAAAATTAGCTGAGTGTGGTGGTGGGTGCCTGTAGTCCAAGTTACTCAGGAGGCTGAGGCACGAGAATCACTTGAACCCGAGAGGTTCTATGAGACCAGATCGCTACACTGCACTCCAGCCTGGGTAGCAAAGTGAGACTCCGTCTCAAAAACAACAAAAAATGTAAGTTCTCTCGTGGTTCCCTTCCCCAGAGATCCTTACTGTTGACATTTGTTGTCTCTCCTTCTACAAGTTTTCTCTGCCTGTAAAAGCATATCCTTAAAACATACATGCTTTCCACACCTCACACACAAGTGGGAATCCACTGTACACACTGGTCTGCACTCGGCTCTTTTCATTGACTATGTTACCTTAGAGAGCTTTTCTCATCTGTAAATGCTGGTCTCTCATTCTGTTAGAGCACTGTAGTATTCCAGTGGATGAACGTATTTATTTAACCAGTTTCTCTTGATGGATATTTAAGTTATTCCTAGGTTCCTGCTATTCTGAAGAGTCACCTTTTGAAAACGCAAATGTGCTGGGTCCGTCCCTGGCTCAGGCATCTTAAATGACTTCCTGCTGTTTACAGCTAGGCCTCCAGCTGGGGAGTCATGGATGCAAGCAGGTTGCCAGGGATACCCGAGGCCTCAAGAGAAATAATGGCATGTGTTCCTGGAGTTCTATGTAAAAATGTTAATTGAACTGCTAAGTGGTTAAAATGTTTTATATGGAGTCAACACAATTCTATTATGGTGTCAAATATAGAATTCTCATGCATTTTTCAGATGGTGGTGGGAGACTTCAAAAGAAATTTGTGGAGGTTTTTTCAAGCTACACTTCCAGATTCCCCTAAAGGCTCATGTTTTCCTTTCTTGCCTGAAGGACATCAGTGGAAAGATCTGAGCACCCAAGTCCACAGGATACAGCCAGAGCCTACTGGCATAGATTTGAGAGTCCACGTTTGATGCACGTAGAACTACTTGCTATTTTTCCTATTCCCTTTGCCTGGAAGGTTTCTGTCCTTTTCCATCTGGTATACTTACTACTCATCCCAAAAGGCAGTAAGTACAGCCTACTGCTGAAAAGTATGGACTTTGGAGCCAGACTGCCTGGGTTTGAATCCTGACCATGTCATATTTCTAGCTGTGTGATCTCGGGCAAGTTACTTAGCCTCTCTGAGACTCAATGATCTCATTGTAAAATGTAGGTACTGAAAGTAACTGGTAAGACTGTTATGAGGTATAAGTGGGTTAATATACGTAAAGTGCTTAGAACAGTGTTTGGTACGTGGTTAGCACTTGATGAAGGTATTGTTGTTAATGTTATTATTTTTATTACTCAAGGTCTAGTTTCCATGATTCTCCCAGGTACCTTCTTCTGCCTTCCCATAACATCTGCTTACAGTACTCAGCACAATATTCTGTACTTTCTCCTCCCCTTTAGGGACGTGCTCTTTTGCAGAGAGGACCCTGTCTTATTTATCCTCATATCCCTTGTGTGGGATGCATACTAGACAATCAGTTGCTGTTGAATAGGTGTTAACTGAATGAGATAATAATTATAATAATAACATAATTATTATAATAATAATCTGAATTATTATATCTGTCTGTCTATTTGATTATGCAGTGACCAGTGATTTTTGGCCCTAAAGGGGCTTTTCACAGACCCCAACATGGTTTGTAAATAAAAACTTCACTGTAGAAACCATTCACACTAAACCAGTGCTTCTCAAACTGCGTTCATGCAGTTTATGGGCATTTTCCGAACACAGGTTCCCTAGGTTTGGGAAATTCTAGGTTACATAAAAGTAAACAGATATCTTAGAGCCTTTTCTAGGCTCATGTCCATAGAGGAATGAGTGGAACGTGGGATTCGGTTAGTAAATTTCTTAATCTTTTTTGACCAGAGCGCTTTTTTTTTTTTTTTTTTTCGCGGAAGGTGAAAACATCTGGTGGGTTAATTCTATGGAATATAGTTGTTGATAAATTGCACGAACTTAGCTCCATTCTCTCTTCCAGCTGATTTGCCTAGAGCCTGGGAGTGTCACTGACGTGCCATTTCCTGCCCTGACAGCATCTCCGCTTCCGTCCTGAAACCTTTATCAAGAAACAACTGTGCAGCCCACGAATCCATTCAGTCAAGATGTATTGAGTTTCTGCTATGTGTACTGACTGCGGGGAAAACAGGATTCTTGTCCTCGAGGAACTAGCTGGGGACTCGGGACAGAGTCAAACACATGCAACATGAGGCCTGGTATGTTAGATGGGCAGAGAGCCGGGACACTGCTGGCTGCGCAGGGAGATGGGGGCCGGAACGTTTTTGAGGAGGATGAGGCTTTGATTTCTCTGGTCCAATCCTCTCAGTGTCAAGGTGGGTAGGTGGGGAGATTAAAGTCTAGAGAGTGGTAGGTGTTTTGTTTTGTTTTGTGAGCTCAAACAGGTAGTCAGGGGCAGACTGGGAACAATATTGTATTTTCCCATTGCATCACCTGCCTCTGAGGCTCAAGTATCAAAATCAGAGAATCCGTTCACACAAAAAGACGAAACCAGGGAACACTTCCTTCCTTGTAGCTGCCTGTGGGTCCCTGAACTTGTTGAAGGCCATTCTGGGTTGGATATCTTTTCCGCTTCCATTTTCCTATCAATGACTCAAGACCATGTCTTATTTTTATACACATTTGTTTTCTCATAGCTTCCTTCTCTAATCATTTCTTGGCGAAGATGTTTGTGGCTTACAACATGCTGCAGTCAAAGCAGGGCACGCTTTGGAAGCCAGAGGGCGAGGTTCGGCTGGCTGCGGTTTGCCAGTCTGGTAATTGCCAGTGGGAGGAAAGTGACACAGCGAGAGCAGGGCCTTCAGAATGCCAAAGAGTTTGCGGTACTGCGGTCCCTGGTGTTCTGTGCAGATACTAAGCTAACAGGAATGTAATACAAGCACAGCAGATTGGAATGAAATAGGCCACCCACTCTCACTCCAGGCTCCTCAGTAGCTGCCCTGCCTGCTCATCCGGGGGCCCAAGGCTCACTCGGTGCCAAGGAACTAGCGTCAACTCCCCAAGAACAGCACTGCTCACTTCCCCCAGCAATTCTTCCCTGCTTTCAGAATGAAATCCACATCCATCCTCTGAGCCTCCCTGGTCTTCTGTCCCTATCACAACGTCTCTTCTGACCTCCCTATCTGCTCCGCCTGCTTTGTCAAGAACATGCCCCCAGCTTTCCCTGTCTTGAGCGTTTCCTGACACTGTCTTCTGCCTCTGTTTGTTGAAATCCCAAGACTTTTTCAAGGCCCATGAGCCATTCACAATTGTGTTCAGCTGCATATAAGAGAAGTGCTGCTATTTGGCTGAACCAAAGAGGGATTCTTTTATTTCATGCAACAAGAAGTGTGGGGACAGGCAGTCTAGGGCTGGGGTGGCAGCTCAGGAATGATTCCATCCAGGAACCAGGTTCTTTCCATGTGCTCACTCCTCTTTCTTTCTTTCTTTCTTTCTTTCTTTCTTTCTTTCTTTCTTTCTTTCTTTCTTTCTTTCTTTCTTTCCTTCCTTCCTTCCTTCCTTCCTTCTTTCCCCCCTCTCTCCCTCCCTCCCTCCCTTCCTCTTGAGACAGTGGTCTCATTCTGTCACCCAGGCTGGTGTGTAGTGGCACAATCACGACTCATTGTAGCCTCGTCCTTCTGGGCTCCAGCAATCCTCCCACCTCAGCCTCCTCAGTAGCTAGAACTACGGGCTCACTGCACCCTCTGCCTCCCAGGTTCAAGCGATTCTCCTGCCTCAGCCTCCCGAGTAGCTGGGACTACAAGAACCCACCACCATGCCCGGCTAATTTTTGTATTTTTAGTAGAGATGGGATTTCACCATGTTGGTCAGGCTGGTCTCAAACTTCTGACCTCAGGTGATCCACCTGCCTTAGCCTCCCAAAGTGCTGAGATTATAGGCCTAAGCCACCACTCCCAGCCTCCACAGGTATGTTTTGATTTAAACTGAATTGAATTAAATGGGAGAATGATGGTATGGCTATCGGAAAGGGTGTTGGATGTAGAATTACAAAACATGAATTTGAATCCTGATATGACCACGTGACTTTGTGTGAATCACACGGACCTCAGTTTCTTCATCTATAAAATTAGGAGACTCAATGAAATGGTCTCAAAATTTTCTTCCAGCTTTAAGAACTTGGGGACTCTTATGAATGGAATCAATTAGCTGCATTAGGGAATTCCAAGGAGGTGGAGCCCATTCAGGCCCAATGACAGCCAGTAAAACAGGGAATGGAGAAATCCGGGCACTTCTCACTCAATCCTATAGTTTATGGGCCCAAGACAAGCCTAGAGGGGCAGAAAGGTGAGAGCTGGAAAGTAACAGGGAACTGGGCCAGACCAGCATGGATCAGGAGGCTGGAGATGAGAGGTCAGTCCTGGTGTAAATAAACAAGTGCTATTTTAAGAGGTCGCCTTTCAGGAAGCAGGAACCCTCCACTGCCCAGACATTGAAGCCCTACTGAACCTCACCTCCTAATGACAAGAGAAGGCCTCTCATTATGACTTTGGCACAGTGGCTTATGCCTGTAATCCCAGCATGTTGGGAGCCTGAGTAGGGAGGATCGCTTGTGTTCAGGAGTTTGAGACCAGCTTGGGCAACGTAGAGAGACCCTGTCTCTACAAAAAATAAAAAATTAGCCGGGCGTGGTGGGACATGCCTGTAGTCCCAGCTACTCAGGAGGCTGAGGCAGGAGGATCATTTGAGCCCAGGAGGTTGAGGCTGCAGCGAACTGTGATTCTGCCACTGCACTCAACCTGGGAAACAGAGTGAGACCCTGTCTCCAGAAAAAAGAAGAGTTCCTTTAAGTTTAGGCGAGGTAGAGCCCCACATCTGGCATCATGTATAAACTGGAATGAATAGCCAGTGTGTCTGTCTCACATTCCTATTTGGGGATAGAGCAAGACTTACGGGTTGAAGGCCCAAGCCTTCCCTTGTGTTACTTTGAGCAAGTTAATTTTCCTCTCTGGACTTCAGGTTCTCGTCTGTAAAAGACAGGCATTGGTATATAACACTGGTGTTTAAATTCTTTAGAACTGGAACAAAAACAGAACAAAAGCTTGTATAGGTTCCCGAAACAGCAAGCCATCCTCTTGGCAAGGAATCCTTCAGGATCTGTGGTGTCTCGGAAGCACCTCTGAAGACTTGGGGCCACAGTATAAAAATGACTACACTGGTGACCTTGAGCTCCCTCCCAGCTCTCTGACCCTGTGTCTTTCCTGGTTATTATTTTTTTCCCCCACATTTCTTATCTACTGAAGACTGACGCCAAGTATTGGTGTTTCTTTTAGACGTAACTGAGTTAAGAAGCTCTCGCCATGACTCGATCACAAGCTGGCAGGTTTCGCCCCTGTACTTTGCTTGATTCAGATCCTTCCTCATTCTCTTTATTGAAGTTTTAAGTTCTTCATTTTCCCTTCCCCACCCCAATACAGGGCTTGGTTCTCAGCCCCTTTTGTCCTTACCATACACATTCATTCATGAGATGCTATGACAAATTCAGTAATTCCTATCCCTTGTCTCCAAGTTTAGTGAGTCATGAGCAGTGAAGCTGATGCTAAAAAGAAATGTCACACCTGGATGGGACTGTTGAATCTACTCAATGCCTCACCTCAGAAGTGGAAGTTGCTGACTTCAATATTTTGTTTTTGTGGTCTCTTGAGGGAAAGACCTTTTGATGCTGGCTTCACAAGTGACCTGCCAGTCCAGTTTCACTAGCGCTTACCAAGTGATAGGTAACACAGCCAAAATTTGTGATTCTCGCTTGAACCCAGGAGGCAGAGGTTGCAGTGAGCCAAGATCGCACCACTGCACTCCAGCCTGGGCGACAGAGCAAGACTCTATCTCAAAAAAAAAAAAAAACCCACAAAATTTGTGGTTCTTTATCCTCCTGTTTCAACTTATTAATAATAGTAATGATGACAATAACTACAACAACACTCAGCTATCATTTATAAAGTGTCTACAAGGCGCCAAGCACAGAGCCAGGTGCTCCACATATATTATCCTTCATTTTCATAACTTTAGAAGGCATTAATAGATATTATTGACCTTACTTTGCAAATGCATTAAGTCTCATGGAAATTAAGTTCTTTGCCCAAAGTTGCCTGGCTAATGAGAAGCAGAGCCTAGATTCAAACCCGAGTCTGTCTCATTCCAATATTCATGTTCTTTCCACCTCTCCGTGAAGAAATAGTATGCCTTTTTTGGGGTGTTGAAGATTTGTGACAATTTTGATAAGTGAAAGCAAAAAGGGAAAGAGAAGAGAAAAAGCTATTAACTTAAAATCCGTTACAACTGTACTAGGAAATTAAGTGAGAATAAATTATAAAGTCAAATCTAATTTCTGAGGGGAAGACACTGACTGACATAGATAAAAACATGTTTATGTGACCCTTAGGTAAATCGTTCCAACTCTCTGAGCCTCAGTGTTGTTATCTACAAATGGGAGAATCAAGGCACCCTCCTACAAGCGGCGGCTCATCAGCTCACTTGGAAAATGTAGTCATCTTCTCAAAGTTTTCTTTTTCTTTCTTTCTTTTTCCTTTCTTTCTTTCTTTTTCTTTCTTTCTCTCTCTCTCCTTCCTTCCTTCTTTCCTTCCCTCCCTCCCTTCCTTTTTTCTTCTTTCTTTCATTTTCTTTCTTTCTCTCTTTCTTCTTTCTCTTCCTTTCTTTCCTTCCGTCCCTCCCTTCCTTCCTTTTTTCTTCTTCCTTTCATTTTCTTTCTTTCTCTCTTTCTTCTTTCTCTTCCTTTCTTCTTTCTTTTCCTCCTTCCTCCCTTCTTTCCTTCCCTTCCTTCTTCCCTCCCTCCCTCTTTGTTTCTTTCTTTCTCTCCCTCCTTCCCTCCCTCCCTTTCTGTCTCCCTCTTTCTTTCTCTTTTTTCTTTTCCTTCCTTCCGTCTTTTTCCTCCCTTCTTTCCTCCCTCCTCCCTCCCTCCCTCCTCCCTCTTTTTCTTTCTTTCTTTCTTTTTTCTTTCTCTCTTCTTTTTTTTTTTTTTTTTTTAAGAGATAGGGTCTGTTGCCCAGGCTGGAGTGCAGTGGCATGATCATGGTTCACTGCAGCCTTGAACTCCTGGGCTCAGGTGATCCTCCTACCTCAGCCTCCTAAGTAGCTGGGACTATAGGTGCATGCCATCACACCCAGCTAATTTTTTAAAAGAAATTTTGTAAAGACAGGGGTCTTGCTATGTTCCCCAGGCTGGTCTCAAACTCCTGGGCTCAAGTGATCCTCCAGCCTCAGTATCCCAAAGTGCTGGGATTATAGGTGTGAGTCACTGCAGCCAGCTCAAATATTTTCTTAAATGAATGTAAGGTTGAGGATGCATTATTATAATGGCTAATTTAGATCTAAAAAATGCTTTGCAGTTTACCAGATTCACTTATGTACATTCTCATATAATTCTCCTGATAATCCCTTGAGGAAGGTGTCCTCATAACTAGAATCTTAGCTAACAACAGATCAGCGAATGTTGATTGAATGCCTACTGTATGCCAGGTTATTCTTGAATCTGAATAGGATACAGAGTTGACTAAAATAGGGATCCCATGTGACTTTTGTTTTATTTTTATTATTTTCCCACAATGAATTTATCACTAGAAAAGATTATCTTGGCCGGGCGCAGTGGCTCATGCCTGTAATCCCAGCACTCTGAGAGGCCAAGGTGGGCGGATCACCTGAGGTCAGGAGTTCAAGACCAGCCTGGCCAACATGATGAAACCCCGTCTCTACTAAAACAAAAATTAGCTGAGCATGGTCGTGGGCTCCTGTAATCCCAGCTACTCAAGAGGCTGAGGCGGGAGAATTGCTTGAACCCGGGAGGGGGAGGTTGCAGTAAACTGAGATCGTGCCACTGCACTCCCAGCCTGGGTGACAGAGTGAGACTCCATCTCAAAAAAAAAAAGAAAGAAAGAAAAGAAAAGAAAAGATTACCTTGGCCAGGCACAATGGCTCACACCAGTAATCCCAGCACTTTGGGAGGCCGAGGCTGGGGGATCATCTGAGGTCAGGAGTTCGAGACCAGCCTGGCCAACATGGTGAAACCCTGTCTCTACTAAAAATACAAAAATTAGCTGGGGATGGTGACAGGTGCCTGTAATCCCAGGTACTCAGGAGGCTGAGGCAGAAGAATTGCTTGAACCCAGGAGGCGGAGGTTGCAGTGAGCCGAGATGGCACCATTGCACTCCAGCCTGGGTGACGAGTGAAATTCCGTCTCAAAAAAAAAAAAAAAAAAAAGAAAGAAAGAAAGAAAAGATTATCTTATCTCTCACCCAAAGAAAGACAAGACAAGAAAAAAAAAATTCAGACCGTGCCCCTTCAAGGAAATCAAGTCTAGTGGAAAAGGCAGATGTGCACAGTAAACCAACACACAATGCAGATCTGATCATGGGAAGTTTTGTCAAAGAAATACAAACAGATGGGGCAATTAATTTGGACTCTAGGAGCAGGAGGCCTTTAAATGCTCTGTGAATCCCTGTCCAGCCTGCCTCACAGAGTGGTGTCAAAGTTCCATAAAATGGACAAAAGCTCTTCAGTCTTGCACATCTGTAAAGGATTGATTGTGATGATTTTCGTTCATGTTTCCCAGCAGAGTTGGGAGTATTGGGATTTCTGTTTTGCTGGGACAATTGTGTTGTGCCAGGGATGTCTGAGGATTGTCTTCTGATGTTGTGAGTCTTGGAATTCACATTAGGTATGGCAGCCCGGAAGCCGCTAGGTTCAGTTCTACCAGTATATTGACTTTTAACCCCGTTCCCTTCTTCGTCCCTCTCCCTCCACCTTCTTGGGTTATACTATCTTCTTCCTTCTTCTCCCTTCCTATACATCTCTTTCATCCTTTTTTACCTTTTTTCTCACTATGTTGGGGTCTCCAAGACCACCCCCAGGTTCACTGCTTCACTAGGAGATGTCAGAAAACTCAGCATATAGTTGTACTCACAGCTGTGACTTTTTTTTTTTTTTGAGATGGGGTCTTGCTCTTTTGTGTGGTGTGTGTGTGTGTGTGTGTGTGTGTGTGTGTGTGTGTGATGGGTCTTAGTGATAATTTTGCTGTAAAGACGCCTCATCCAGAAAAGAGTTGGCATAGCAGGCCTGAGACTGCCATTCTTAGAGAAACCTGTTCACAAGTTTGGCTTTTTTCTTTTCTGGAGTGCAGTGCTGTCATCTTGGCTGACTGCAACCTCCACCTCCCAGGTTCAAGAGATTCTCATGCCTCAGCCTCCCGAGTAGCTGGGACTACAGGCGTGTGCTGCCATACTGGCTAATTTTTGTATTTTTAGTAGAGATGGGGTTTCACCATGTTGGCCAGGCTGGTCTCGAACTCCTGACCTCAGGTGATCCACCCGCCTCGTCCTCCCAAAGAGCTGGGATTATAGGCACGAACCACTGTGTCCGGCCACAGCTGTGGCTTATTACAGGGAACAGGTACAAAGCAAAATCCATAAAGGGAGAAGGGGATGGGGCAAAGACAGGGGAAACCAGGCCCAAGCTTTTGGAAGTCTTTTCCCGGTAGAGTCACACAGGACATGCCTAATTCCTCCAGCAAAAAATTGTTACAACACATGTCAAATGTTGTCTACCAGGGAAACTCAATAGAGACTCGGTGCCCAAGGTTTCTTCTGGGGATGGCCACATGTACCCTCCACCTACCATATACAAAAATTCCGGATTTCCAGAAAGAAAACAAGTGTTCAGCATAAACCATGTTGTTTGTACAAATGGTTTAGTGCAGTGAGCCACTCTGATCACTTAGGGAATGGTGAGAACCCTCCCCAAGTCTGTGTTCCCAAATGCCCATCAAAAGCCAAACTTGGCTGGGTGCAGTAGGCTCACACCTGTAATCCTGGCATTTTGGGAGGCCAAGGCCAGTGGATTGCTTGAGTCCAGGAGTTTTGAGACCAGCCTGGACAACATGGCAAAACCTCATCTCTACAAAAAATACAAAAATTAGCCGGACGTGGTGGCACATACCTGTAGTCCCAGCTACTTGGGAGGCAGAGGTGGGAGGATTGCTTGAGCCTGGGAGGTGGAGATTGCAGTCAGCCAAGATCACACCACTGCACCCCGCACCCACCACACACCACCTCCCCCCCGCCTAAAAAAAAGCCAAACTCGTGAGCAGGTCTTTCTAAGAATGGCAGTCTCAGGCCTGCTATGCCAACTCTTTTCTGGACAAGGCATCTTTACAGCAAAATTATCACTAGGACCCATCAGCAGGATGAGACCAACCTGCCGTACTGATCCTATCAGTTATATGCCTTTTAGGAGCCCTGTACTTAGCCAGGTAAAACAAATCCCATCAGCCATAAAGATCTTTAAAGGTAAACTTTAAAGTATTTTTATGAACGTTTTTTACCTGGCCCAAGGCAGCAATTCAGACACAGTGCAGCTCTGTCCAATAAGATGAAGCTGACCTGAATCCCTTCCAGGGCTAAGGCAGTGTTGTCACAGGAGAATACACACACAAGAAGTCCAGCCCCAGAGGGCACATGTTGTACCCCTGGAAACAAAGAGTTGACAATTATTGGGGCACCCCAAGCTGCATACATTAGCAGAACAGGTTGACAAGGCCCCAAGTGTGACCTCCCATCGCAGGGCTCCCACCCTAGGCTTCCAGTTTCATTCAATTAAATCAGTTCAGGCTTTGGTTTCAGAGGGACTGCCTGAGGATGTCAGTTACCAATGGTTTGCTTGTCTGTGACACAAGCTCGCCTGCTTCCTGAGTGTGCAGGACCTCGGGGGGTGTTCTGTGCAGGAAGTGGAGGGGCTGGGTCGCCCCCTGCTGCTCAGCGTGTCAGAGTTCAGAGTTCTCCCAGAATTAGGAAAGGCAGCACCGGGAGTTTTCCCTTCAGGAAGAAAGGAGAGCTTCCAGAAGCAGTTCTGAAAGACAAAGGATATTAAAGCCCTCACTGCTCCCCTGCACCTCCCAGGGTACTAGGGTTTCTGTCATCTCTCTGTTGTTTCAAAATCGGTGTGTCGCATTCAGCCATCATAACTTTACATTTTAAAAACCATCCCCTGCTGTCATCCAGACCTCTCACCTGGAAGGGTTGTATGCAAGAGGGACAAAAGCATTTTCATCAAAAAACGGTTTTATATAACTTAACCAGAAAGATACATCATGCTCAGGAATGGGTCAAGGAGGGAATCCCGAATTTTCAAAAATTTTCAAACTGGGTTTATATAACCTCCCATCCCTTTTATCCTGAGCAGCCTGGAAAAGCTCACTCACCTACTGGGCACAGTTGCACTTAGTAACCAAAATGCCTCACTAAGGTGTGTGTCCCAGGACAGAGAGGCATGGAGCCAGGCTATTGGTCCATTGTTGCAAACTGCAACTAGTCCTGCAAGTTGAACACAACAATCAACAGCAGTGAGGCATCTCCAAGAGGGGGTCGAGGGTCCACCTATCAGGAGTGAGCAAAGGGCCCTGGTCCCTGTGATGTGCCCTCCCTGACCTGCAGCTTTCAGCAGTAATCTCAAGTCAGACTGCAAGTGGTCTCTGTATCAGAAATACAGAGCCTATCTGCCACCTGATTTCAGATGGTCCCAGCAGTGTATAAGCCTTTTCCTGTGGACATTTGTATGGGATCCAGACAATCCAGCCAGAATGTTCTCATAGTTTAGGGCCCCAAAGAGGTGTCCAGTATCTATGGCAATCCTGGAGTCAAAGTCAAGCCAGTGCCTCTTCAGCTCAGCACAGCTGGAGCAGAGGCTGAACCAGCCCATGGCAGACAGCATCAGGTTTCAGCTCCATGGAGCCCAGGCAATTAGGGGCAGAGAATGCAAGATTCCAAAAACACCAAGGGTATTTCTTTGACTGCAAAAAAGGCAAGACACTGGAGGGCCAAATCGCTGTGTTCCAAGTCTGAATGACAAGCGAGGCTTTCCTAAACCCTTTGTCTCTGTGCCATTCTTAAGAGTCCAAGTTGACCCACAGCAGGCTGGAAAATTATCAGCCTGTAAGGATCGGATTTCACAACATCTGATATGATTTATGGGAGCTCATTAGCAATTAAAGCCTGCTTTTTAAAATTCCAAAAGTGGTTTTAATCTGGTGAGTGGCTCTCTTTTCACGCTGATTGCCTTTTCCTAGAGGCTCTGATCGGCAAACATGGTAGTAAAAATCCTCACTATGGGGACTTACTCTATTTCTAATACTCAAAACAGTTTAATTTGCTCACCAGTGGCAAAAACCAAGAAAGATGTGTCCCATCTCTCTATATATTTTTGCAGCTTTTCCCAATTGGGATGATCACTCTAGCATTTATGAAATTATAAAGCCTATAATACTTCTCATCCATTCTTGCCATACATCCAGATCCAATAGCCACAAATACGAAGCCATTAAAAACAATAAACTGTTTTCTTGTTGCATATTTACTCAAACCCTTAGCAGTAAATTCAGCATTTACAGCTGCCAGGAGCTCTGGCTGGAGTGCAAGAAGGGAAAGGTGTATAGTAATGGCTGCACCTCTCCCCCTCCCACCCCATCTGCTTCCTCTCTGCTGTATCTAAGTGTTGCTCCTGGGAATTGATTTTTTTTCCTCCCACCTGGAGAAGAGAGTGATGCAAATTTTTTTTTTTTTTTGAGACGGAGTCTCACTCTGTTGCCCAGGCTGGAGTGCAGTTTCGCGATCTCAGCTCACTGCAACCTCCACCTCCTGGGTTCAAGTGATTCTCCTGCCTCAGCCTCCCAAGTAGCCAGGACGACAGGTGCGTGCCACCATGCCCAGCTAATTTTTGTATTTTTAGTAGAGGTGGGGTTTCCCCATATTGGCCAGGCTGGTAAATTTTTAACATCTTTGGCCCAAAGCTAAACTTTTGGGATGGCTGGGCCTTTTTCCTCCCACCTGGAGGATAGAACAAAATGAAAGACATTGAGCAAGCTGACCATTTTTCCCCTCACTTTAGCCAGCACTGCCAAAAGCACCCAGGATGTCCGGCAAGCCAGTTCTCTGGGATTGGAGCGATCATTTTCAAATTTCATCGGTAACTTTTACCTCTTGCAGCAGACAGTAACTCAGCTGGGGTTTCACATCATTCATATCCACAGATCTTCCGCTCCTTCATCCTTCCTTTTCTCAAACAGCACTTTCACCATATATCAGAGCCAAGGTCCTTCTAGTGAGGTCCACTTATGATGCTCTGTGCCAGGGGTTCCCAGGACCACCTCAGGTTCAGTGGCTCACTAGGGGGACTCCCAGGACCACCATGTCATTGAACTCACAGCTATGATTTATGACAGTCAAAGGATACGAAGCAAAATCAGCAAAGGGAAAAGGTGCATGGGTCAAAGTCTGGAGGAAACCAGGTGCAGACTTCCAGTTTTCTCCCAGTGGAGTCACTTAAGGATGCACTTAATTCCTCCAGCAACAAACTGTAACAACATCTGTGAAACGCTGCCTTCCAGAGAAGCTTGTCTGAGCCTGGGGTTCCAAAGCTTTTATCTGATCAGTCATGTAGGCACCTCTGCCTAGCACATACCAAAATTTTCAGACTCCCAGAAGGAAAGCAGGTGTTCAGAATAAACTACGCTGTTTGTACAAACAGTTTAGTGCCAACCTTACCAGCAGGGCTTTCTAACGTTAACAGTCTCCAGCATGGTATGTTAATTCTTTTCTACACACATCTTTTGTTGTTGTCGTTGTCGTTGTTGTTGTTGTTGTTGAGACAGGGTCTCGCTCTGTTGTCCAGGCTGGAGTGCAGAGGCTCGATCTCGGCTCACTGCAACCTCTGTCTCCCAGGTTCTTGTGCCTCAGCCTCCTGAGTAGCTGGGATTGCACATGCGCACCAACATGCATATTTTTTGTATTTTTAGTAGAGAAAGGGTTTCACCATATTGGCCAGGCTGGGCTCGAACTCCTGAGCTCAAGCTATCTGCCTGTCTCAGCCTCCCAAATTGCTGGGATTACAGGCATGAGCCACCGTGCCTGGCCTTCTACACACACATCTAAAAAGAAAGGAAAGTGAATGGAAAATAGAGAAGAAAAGAGAAAAATAACACAAAAAAAGAGTGAGGCTGAAAAGGAAAAGAAGAAAACGTTGTCTGAGGATTTTAAAAACATTGTAGAGAAAATAAATTGTTGTATAATAATGTCATAAGAAGTAAAAATAAATACACAAAATCATGGAATGCCCTGAACTTGTACTTTGAGGAGATCATTCTAGTCCCAGACTCTGGATGCAAGACAACCCCACCAAAGTATTCAGCAAACCCTATGTTTTTGTTTTTGTTTTTTGAGACGGAGTCTCGCTCTGTCGCCCAGGCTGGAGTGCAGTGGCAAGATCTTGGCTCACTGCAACCTCCACCTCCCAGGTTCAAGCGATTCTCCAGCCTCAGCCTCCCGAGTAGCTGGGATTACAGTCACTCACCACCAGGCGCAGTTAACGTTTGTATTTTTTAGTAGAGACTGGGTTTCACCAAGCTGGCCAGGCTGGTCTCAAACTACTGACCTCAGGTGATCCACCCACCTTGGCCTCCCAGAGTGTGGGATTACAGGCATGAGCCACCGCACCTGGCTGCAAACCCTATTTTCTTTCTTTCTCTCGCTTTCTCTTTCTTTCTTTCTTTTTCTTTCTTTCTTCCTTCCTTTCTTTCTTTCTTCCTTTCTCTCGCCTTCTCTTTCTTTCTCTTTCTTTCTTTCTTCCTTTCTTTATTTCTTTCTTCCTTTCTCTCTCTCTCTCTTTCTTTCTTTTCTTTTTTTTTCGGAGATGGGATCTAGCTATGCTGCCCAGACCGGTTTCAAACTCCTGGGTTCATGCAGTCCCCCTGCCTCAACCACCCAAATCATTGGGATTATAGGCATAAGCCACTACACCCAGCCTATTTTAACTTTTCAAAATAGCAAAATTCTTTATTCAAAATGAAGCCTTGCTTAGAAGCCCAATTAAGACTCAGAAATTGAGCTACTGTGAGCCTAGTGGGTCTGGGGTCATACCCTGCTTCCCCATACTCTTGAGGTTCCATGAAGCACAAGTGAAAACCACTGATTTAGCACCATCTCTTTTATTTTTCAGATGATGAAATCAAGGCCCAGCTAACTAAAGTTTCATAGTCTTAGAAATAGAACCCATTTATTTGGAATCCCAGCTCATTTGCTTTTTTTTTTTTTTTTTTTCTTTTTGAGACAGAGTCTCACTTCATTGCCCAGGCTGGAGTGCAGTGGCACAATCTCGGCTCACTGCAACCTCTGCCTCCTGAGTTCAAGCAATTCTCCTGCCTCAACCTCCCAAGTAGCTGGGAAATACAGATGTCCGCCACCATGCCCAGCTAATTTTTGTATTTTTGGTAGAGATGAGGTTTCGCCATGTTGTCCAGGCTGGTCTTGAACTCCTGACCTCAGTTGATCCACATGCCCCAGCCTCCCAAAGTGTTGAGATTACAGGCGTGAGCCACTGCAACTGGCCTCATTTTGTTCTTGTGCTATTTTCAGTAAATTCTAAGTGTCCCTTGAAGAAAATGAGTGAAAGCCAACATTTCCTGGTAATCTCCTGTTAAGTACATTTATTCTTAAAACGGATTTTTTTTAAAAAAGACAAACAAATGATCTGGCTTTTGGAAAATTCTCCAAAGTAAGCCATGCTGTTGCATCTCATTATGGACAATCAGCTTGTTCTTTTTCTTTAGAGATAGGGTCTTGGTCTGTTTCCCAGGCCAGAGTCCTGTGGTGCAATCATAGCTCACTGTTGCCTTGAACTCCTGGGCTTAAGCAATCTTCCCACCTCAGCCTCCCAGGTAGCTGGGACTCCAGGCACACACCACCACAGGGGACACTAATTTTTTTATTTTTGTAGAGACGGGGTCTCACTATCTTGCCCCGGCTGGTCTCAAACTCCTGGGCTCAAGTGATCCTCCTGCCTTGGCCTCCCTAAGTGCTAGAATTACAGACTTGAACCACTGTACCCAACCCAGACTGTTCTTTAGGGTCCAGCAGCTCATTCTCCTTCCAGCCTTAAGTTCTCTGGCCATCCTGCTCTCCCTTCTACCCTTGTGAGAGTTTGCACCTTTCCTCCGTGACAGCTATCTAGCCTGGCTTTGGGCTGAGGTGGTGAACATGCTTATTTTACTTCAAAGGCAGGTACTGTAGCTCATTTATGCTCTACTCTGTGCAATGCCTAGCTGAGCACCTTCAAGGTCCAGCTAATGTTCACTGAGTTTTATTGAAATGGATGGGCTTCGCAGACCGATTGTGTTAATCGGAGAGAGGAGGTTAGAGTCTAGTGAACACTGAGAAGTTGCCTCAAAAAACATCTCTTTCACCTGCTGAGTCTGTGGATGATATTTTAAAAAATTAAGAAAAAACATCTCTTCTATGTCCCCTTTAATTTCACAGCCTGGAAGCTGTTTATAAAATTGATGACAAAAAAAGAATAGGCTCTTTATCTTCTAGATGTTCTCATTGGGTTTCACGTGTTTTTGTTGCCCTTTCATAGCTTCTCTCATCTCGAGTTATATCCCTTTCTGGTAGTGGGACGTTCTAGTGTTGCTGCAAAGTGTATGCTTTGACCAATGTAGTTTTTTGCTTTATCCTACTTGATATAAAAAATATTTGTGATTTGCAGCTGGATGCAGTGGTTCACACCTGTAATCTCAGCACTTTGGGAGGCTGAGGTGGGTGGATCACTTGAGGTCAGGAGTTCAAGACCAGCCTGGCCAACATAGTGAAACCCCATCTCTATTAAAAATATAAAAATTAACCGGGTGTAGTGGCAGGTGCCTGTAATTCTAGCTACCCGGAAGGCTGAGAGGGGAGAATCACTTGAACCCAGGAGGCAGAGGTTTCAGTGAGCCAAGATTGCACCACTGCACTCCCACCTGGGTAACACAGCAAGACTCTGTCTCAAATAAAAAAAAAATTGTGATTTGCTTTAGAGCTCAATTAACCACAATGTGATATTAGATTTGGACTAGACATCAGAAGCCATTGAGTTGAGTGTCCTGCCTGGGTGCCTTCTCTGACACCTCGATAGTCAGACATCTCACCTTTCTGTTTGTCCACTGTGGACAGGGAAATGACTTATTGCGGGTGCAGCACATTCTAGGGGTTGATAAACTCTAGCTTTTGGAGTAACCTCCCTTCCATTAAGCTGCAGATGGCCTTCTGTGCTATGGCCCCCAGGTCTTTACTCTGTCTTCTGGGACTGCACAGGGTATACCGCATCTCTTATATAATCTTTCTTTGGTATTAGGATATGCAGATTCCCACCAGCCAATTTTGCTTTAAAATAGGACATTCAGTAAAGAGCCTGCGTATTTTGCCGAAGTGGATAGAGTGGTGTTAGGGGACAAATGCCTTGTGATACATTCAGTTCAACCTAGTTGTGACCTACCATACATTGTAATGTTTAAATAAAATAATTTTAAAGATAAGATTCCATGACTCCATTTATATGAAATTCTAGAAAACACAAAACTATTGTGAAATTTCTAAAGCAGATCAGTGGTGGCCACAGGGTGGGGAGAGGATTGGCTATAGAGAACAAGGGAACTCTTTAGAGTAATGGAAATACTGTTTATCATCATTAGAGTTGGGTGTATACTACTACATTACTCTCTCTCTCTCTCTATATATATATATATATATATATATATTTTTTTTTTTTTTTTGTTTTGAGAGAGAGTCTTGTTCTGTCACCCAGGTTGGAGTGCAGTGGCCTGATTTTGGCTCACTGAACCTCCATCTCCCAAGTTCAAGCAATTCTCGTGCATCAGCCTTCTGAGTAGCTGGGACTACAGGTGTGCGCCACCATGCCCGGCTAAGTTTTGTGTGTGTGTGTATTTTTAGCAGAGATGGGGTTTTTGCCATGTTGGCCAGGTTGATCTCAAACTCCTGGCCTCAAGTGATCTGCCCACCTTGGCTTCCCAAACTGCTGGGATTACAGGTATTATCCACTGCATCCGGCCTACTACATATTTCTTAAAACTCATTGAATTCTGCACTTGAAATTGGTGAATTTTATCATTTTATCATTTGTAATTTATAGTGCAAATCAATTTGTATCTCAGTAGAGAGAATGAGAGAATAGGAACACCCCTTCTCTCTCTCGCCATAAATTGTTTTCCTATTATTTGAAATGTAGCTATGGAGCCAAAACAGGTTCTGACTTGCTTTTTTTTAATGTAGATTTTATTGAAGTATAACATACATACAGAAAAGTGCACAATCATTAGCATATGGCGCAATAAATTTCCGCAAAGTGAACATATTGGGTAACTGTCAACTAGATTTAAAAAATCCAAGATCCCTAATGTCCCTCCTTGTGTCCCCTTCCAGTCATTAATTCATCTCCCCAAGTGTAATTGTAATAGGTTCATTGCCCAATGCACACAGCAAGTCAATCTACATGGAGAGACACTGGGTTGCAGCAGAGAAAGAGGTTTAATCATAGGGTCGCCAAATGAGGAGATGGGAGGAAACCTCAACTTCCTCTCCTTGAGGAGTTATGATTTTTAAGGCTTTGGGTGTGGGCCAAAATTTGGAGACTGCCGATTGATTGAGGAGTGCCGGGCCAAGCCATGGGGCAGGGGGCAGGGAGAGGAAGAAGCTATAGTCTCATGCTGATCGCATTCATCTGTAGGGGTCTTCAAACAGGTTGCTGGAATTCAGGGTCTGAAAGCATCTTAAGTGACCCTCAGACAAAAGCCATATGATTCTAATGTCAAAGATCCTGTCTATAGGAACAATAAGGATGCAATGGGGAAATGATTCTTAAACAGTCTTATGATGCTAATGTCAGAATTCCTCTTGATAGGAACAATAAAGATGCAAATGGTCAGTAACTAGCAGTACGTGACCTTTAGCAACAAGAAAGTGGGCCAAAGCGTAGCCTAACGCTTAATTGTATTTCTGGCCAGTGCCTGGCAGGTAATTTTTGTCAACCCTGTGGAGATCATTTCACAAGGGTAACCGCTATTGTGATTTCCAACACCATAATTTTTTTAACCTGTTCTTGAACTTCATATGAATGAAATCATGTAGCATCTTCTCTTTTTCGTTCGGCTTCTTTTTTCATTATGATCTATGTGAAATTCATCCATGATGTTGTGCAAGTTTGTTCATTCTCTTTTTTGTTTTTTTTAGACAGAGTCTTACTCTGTTGCCCAGGCTGGAGTGCAATGGCACGATCTCGGGTCACTGCAATCTCTGCCTCCCGGGTTCAAGCCATTCTCCTGCTTCAGCCTTGTGAGTAGCTGGGATTACAGGCGCCCGCCACCATGCCAGGCTAATTTTTTGTATTTTTAGTAAAGACCAGGTTTCACTATGTTGGCCAGGTTGGTCTCGAACTCCTGACCTCGTGATCCACCCGCCTTGGCCTCCCAAAGTGCTGGGATTACAGGTGTGAGCCATGGCACCCGGCCTCTTTTTCTAATTTTATTTTATTTTTTTGCAGACAAGTCTCGCTCTGTCACCCAGGCTGGAGTGCAGTGGCACAATCTCGGCTCACTGCAGCCTCCTCCTCCCAGGTTCAAGCGATTCTCCTGCCTCAGCCTCCCAAGTAGCTGGGATTAGAGGCTCCTGTCACCATGCCTGGCTAATTTTTATATTTTTAGTAGAGACGGGATTTTCACCATGTTGGCCAGCCTGGTCTCGAACTCCTGGCCTCGAACTCCTGGCCTCAGGTGATCTGCCTGCCTCGGTCTCCCAAAGTGCTGGGATGAGCCATTGAATGAGCCACAGGCATGAGCCACTGCACCTGGCCTCTTTTTTCATTTTAAATATCCATTAAATTTACTCATGATTGTGTGGTATTCTAGTTCCGTAAATAAACAATAATTTTTTAATCCATTCTTATGTTGATGGAAATGTGGATTGTTTCCAGTCTTTGGCTATTATGAAAAATATTGCTATGAACATTCTTGTACCTGTTTTTTGGCGAGTTTATGTAATTCTATTGGGTATACACCTGGGAGTAGAATTGCTGGGCCATAGAGTATGCATATGTTCATTTTATTAAATGTTCTGAAACATTTTTCTAAAGTAGTTGTTCTGTTTTATACACCCACAAGAAATGTCTGGGAATTTTATTTGCCCCACGTCCTTGCTAACACTTGCTGTTGTCTGTTCTTTTCACTGTGGCCATATAGTTAGTGGGTATGCTATTACATTGTGGTTTTAATTTTCATTTCCTGATGACTAATGAGGTTGAGCACATTTTTATATGCTTATTTGTCATTTGAATGTCCTTATTCATGAAGAGCTTGTCAAGGTTTTTTCCCATTTTTCTGTTGGATTGTCTGCCTTTTTTCTAATCTGCCTTTAAAACAGTAATTTTCCCCAACATGATAATGTAGTCATGATTTTTGTAACAATTTTTTCAGGTACAAGTGCATTTTTTTTTTTTTTTTGAGATTGTGTTTCGCTCTGTTGCCCAGGCTGGAGTGTAGTGGCGCGATCTCAGCTCACTGCAACCTCTGCCTCCCAGGCTCAAGCCATCCTCTCACCTCAGCCTCCCGAGTAGCTGGGACCACAGGCATGTGCCACCACACCCAGCTCATTTTTGTATGTTTTGTAGAGATGGTGCGGGGGGTCTCACTTTCCTGCCTAGGCTCGTCTCGAACTCCCGATCTCAAGCGATCTGCCCACATTGGCCTCCTAAAGTGCTGGGATTACAGGTGAGAGCTACAGCACCCAGCCTACAACTTCTTTATTATTTCTTTCTTTTTTCAGAAAAATGTATTGGAGACGTAGGAGATGATGAAATCACATCTAGGATTAACATCCTAGAAGGAGCCTCGGAGAGCTGTGAATACCCTAATAATAAATTATTTCGCAGGGCATATCCTGTGTCTTTAGCTTTGGATTGTGTTTCTACCTCTAATGAGAACAAAATAGAGAAGGAGGAGCCAGGCATACAGCCGAATTTGATCTCACATACCAAGAAGAGGAAACTGAGGCCTGGAGAGATAAGGCCACCCACCCTTACCAGACCCTTTTACCAAGGTATCCAAAAACAGCAGCAGAGACTAAAAACACACTTTACTGGAACCCAAAGAGGTTTTCTCTAAGTCAAGCTAACCCAGCCTCAATCAATAGAGCCAGTGAGAAAACATTGATTGTCAAAACTCTGCTCTTCCTTCAGGGTCCATCTCAGATGCGGTCTCTTTCATGAAACATTTCTGATCTTTCCAGCCAGCGTCAATCTTTTCCTATTATTTCTGTCCTGGATTGGGTTGTAGCATTTACCTCATTCTCTCTTGGACTATTTGTACACATGTCTTGTCTCCTGAGATATGTGGTAAACTCCTGGGAAGACAGGCTTGGCTTGTTTCTTTTTGTTGGCGATGGTGGGAGGGAGGCTTATATAAATTAGTTGCTCAGTAAAAGACCAAATTGAGTTGTGTTGCTTCTAAGGAGAAAAGGCCTGAGGAACTCCGTGTTTCCTGAAGCAACTGACAGGCATATTCATATTGAATTTACAAATGTCTTTGTTTTACGGTAGTATACATTTGACAATGAGATCATGGGCCCCAGAGTCTCTGTAGATAAAGAGACCCTGGGTTGTACTTTCTTGGTAGGATGCCCAAGGATGTGACGGCTGCTCTCCCTGCCACACCCAGAGTTGGTGGCTAACCCTTTTCCTGCTTCTGTGTCACTTCGTGGTTCCATGGTAGACTCAAGAGCTACTCTGGGGCAGTCTTGGAACTCTTAAGTTAAG
The DNA here is from genome assembly GCF_000001405.40 of Homo sapiens. Classification (NCBI taxonomy): domain Eukaryota; kingdom Metazoa; phylum Chordata; class Mammalia; order Primates; family Hominidae; genus Homo; species Homo sapiens. Next base: position 2,256,091 of record NC_000020.11, read on the forward strand.
CTAGGGTAGAGGAATGAAGAGGAACGGAAAGAGGAAGAGTGCCATGGCATGGGAAGGCTAAGGTCTCCTGTCTCCTTCTTCCTTCCTGCTTCTTGCCCAGGGGGCCCAGGCCCCCAGCTGGCAGCCACAGCAGCATGACAGTACCAGCAAGGGCGTGTGCACGCATCTTTCCTCAGCTTCCCTTGCAGTTGGTCTGTCCTGTCCTGCCCTCTCCTCCACCACTCACCCTCCCTGCACGCAAGGTGACTGCAGAGTGGCAAGGCACAGGGTGTGGGCAAAACGTGTCCTGTCACCACTTGGGCAGGGCTCAGCCTTGGAAAACACAGAGGTACTTGAAGTCCCCGGGGCTGTCATACACCAAGATCCGGTAGTTGTACATTATATGCCCTTTAAGGGAGCAGTCCTGACCTCAGGAAGAATTTCTTTGGACTTGGGAATATGAATAAAATAAAATCTTTTCTGGCCAAGCGCGGTGGCTCACACCTGTAATCCCAGCACTTTGGGAGGCCAAGGCGGGCGGATCACCTGAGGTCAGGAGATCGAGACCATCCTGGCTAACATGGTGAAACCCTGTCTCTACTAAAAATACAAAAAAATTAGCTGGGCGTGGTGGCACGTGCCTGTAGTCCCAGCTACTCAGGAAGGTGAGGCAAGAGAATCGCTTAAACCTGGGAGGCGGAGGTTGCAGTGAGCCAAGATTGCACCACTGCACTCCAGCCTGGGTGACAGAATAAGACTCCATCTCAAAAAAAAAAAAAAAAAAAAAATCTTCTCAGCAGCCTGTTAAGTGGTCTCCATGATGGACTGAGAAGGCCTGGGGTGGAACAAGAATTAAAAGAAATTAAAGACTGTGTAAGCCAAAACTCAGTTGTATGTAAGAAAATCCAATTCCCCCTGAGGAAGAGAAAGGGCTGGAGTTCTTTAAAATTAACTGCCTGTTTTTCTCTCGGTGGCTAGTGAGCCTTATCTTTCCCTTTCCCAGGCATTGTGAAGACTCTGTTTCTCTAGCTGTGCAGCTGCAAGGTCACTAGACAGATAATCTCAAGTCATAAAACACATTGTTCCTTGGAAAGTAAGAAATAATGTAATGCACGTCTTAATTGAATAACTGTCTTTGTTTCTTGCTTCTGTAATACACTTCCACCTGCACAGATCTCTCTCCGCCCCATGAAATTCTTAAAAGGTAGCTTGACTCTTTGTTCGGGGCTCAGTCCTTGGGATGTTAATTTGACGGGGTCGGTGCACCTAAATAATTAAATAATTCCTCCTCAACCCCTCAGTCTCTCTGATTCCTTAATTATCCCACAGCAAGGGAAGAGCTATGGAAGAGCGATGTCCTTCCTGATTCCTGACCCTTAGAGGGAGAGGAGGTTAACAGGGAAGGAGAAAGGGGAAAAGGCCTACAGACGCCTAAATATATATAATTTTAACTCCTTATGACCATATTGTCAAGTTTTTTTATGTATAATTTTTTTTAATAGAGATGGGGTCTCACTATGTTGCTCAGGCTGGTCTCAAACTCCTGAGCTAAAGCAGTCCTCCCGTCTCAGCCTCCCAGAGTGCTGGGATTACAGGTGTGAGCCACTGTGTACCTGGCCCACATTGTCGAATTAATGGAAAGGAAATACAGAACCAGAAAAACCAAGTAACTGGTTAGAAGCAAAACTTGAACTAGAACCCAGATCATAAAATCTAGGAACTGCAAGGGAAACGGGGATAAGGCAAAGCATGTTATTGATCACTTATGCATGTCAGACACTGCAGGGTTTGTGTGTATGCTTCCTCATTTCCTCTGTGTAATTATCTTATTAAATCAATATCATATCATTTTACAGGTTTGGTCTGTTTTTTTTTTTTTTAAAGGAAGTGCCAACCATTTTGCCTGGCACAGTACTTGGCCCTGGGGGTACAATGAAGATCAAGTTCAAGATCAAGGTGGTCCCTGCCCTATGGTGCTTTTATGGGGGAGAGTCAGGTAAGGAAGCAGTTATCAAGCCTTCTGTGTTTATAATAGAAGTTCAGAATGCTTTGGGAGCACTGCGGTGGGTCCTGCCTCAGGCTGGGAAAAGTCAGGGAGGGCTTCCTGAAGAAGCTTTCAGGTCTTGGAGTGAGCAGAGAATGGGATTGAGGATAGAGGTGGGTGGGTAGGGAAGACGAGAAATGAGGCCAGAGGGGTAGGCAGGTTCCAGACTCCAGACCACCTGGTTAGATGTTTGCATTTCACCTAAGATGGAGATTCAAGGTGGAGGGTGTTGGAAGGTTTTAAGTGATGGGATGATAGGATGAGATGTCCTTATTCTTTTTTGTTTTTATTTTTCTTTATGATGATGATTATTATTTTTTGAGATGGAGTTTCACTGTTGTCACCCAGGCTGGAGTGCAACGGCACGATCTTGGCTCATTGCAACCTCTGCCTCCCAGGTTCAAGTGATTCTCCTGCTGCAGCCTCCCAAGTAGCTGGGATTACAGGTGCATTCTACCGTGCCTGGCTAATTTTTGTATTTTTAGTAGAGACGGGGTTTCACCATGTTGGCCAGGCTGGTCTCAAACTCCTGACCTCAGGCGATCCACCCGCCTTGGCTTCCCAAAGTGCTGAGATTACAGGCATGAGCCACCGCGCCCGGCCCTTTTTTATTTTTACTTTTTAAAGACAGGGTCTCTCTGTTGCGCAGGCTGGAGTGCAGGGTGTGATCACGGCTCACTACAGCCTCAACCTCCTGGGCTCAATTGATCCTCTGTCCTCAGCCTCCTGAGTAGGTAGGACTGCAGGCATGCATCACCATGGCTAATTTTTTATTTTTTATTTACATAGAGATGGGTCTCCATATATTGCCCAGTTTGGTCTCAAACTCCTAGCCTCAAGTGATCTTACGCCTCAGCCTCCCAAAATGCTCAGATTGCAGGCGTGAACCACCATGCCCAGCCAGATGTCCCATTTCTAAGGGAAACTTTGGTTTTGGTGTGGAGGGCGGGCTGGAGAGGGTAGGACTAGAGGATGGAGATGAGCTGGGAACAGCAGTGATTCACAGTAGTGAGAATAGCAGCTAAGCTAGGACAATGTCGGGAGAAACAGAGAGAAATGGATGCACTGAAGAAATTGATTTAGGAGTTAGAAACCATCAGGACTTGGTGACTGATGGCTCTGAGGGGTGGGGAGTTAGAGGGATCCAGGATGACTCCCAGGTTTTGTCTTGGGCTGCGTCATCATCATGGTGCCACCATCTACTCAGTTGTCCAGATGAGATAACTGAAGCTCACAGAAGTAATTTATCCCAGGTCAATCAACTCGTAAATGGTAGAGCTGGGGCTCAACACCAGCCCTGATTGATGCCTTCCTAATTCCACCAGTTCCAGCATTTTTCTGTTTATAACAGTCTGGACAACAGCCATGAACAGCTTTGGCCAAGGTGCACAACTGTGCTTTCTGGAGCCATGGGCTTCTGCAGTGGTGAATGGAGATTTATTCTGAGCTTTAGTAGTTCATTTGAAAGCAATGTTCGGAATCTCCCCTACCTAATGCCCTAAAGCTCTGCACTATCCCAAAAGGCGGTCTGGGTTAATGAAGGGAGAGCTCACCTCCTAACCCAGGGTTAGGAGACCTGGGTTCAAGTCCTGGTCCTGCCAAGTCACATACCTTCTCTGGGCCCCAGTTTCCCAATCCTTGAGTGAAGAGGTTGGGTCAGATGACCTCTAACGGCCATTTCAGCATCTGTTTCTAAGATCTACGTGTCTGGGGAGCAGGAAACGTGCTTAAATACGTTACAGGCTAGAGGCATTCTGAAGGCCATTTGGTTTGATTTCTCAGTGATATGTTAGCCTCCTCTAAAGTGGGCCCAGCTGTGGCCTATGTAACTTGGGTCAGGCACGGGCCCCATAACACACTGATCAAATCAGAATTCTTGGATCAGGGCTGCAGAGAAGTCTCTTGGAATGTGCACCAGTGATCCCAGTGTGTAGTGAGGTTTGAGAACCACTGTCTTGGAGGATGCTGGGAGATCGCCAAGGTGTGTGTTACCCACAGGAAGCCAGTGAGAGTGACTGGGGGCCTCTGTGGAGGAGAAATCAGCCCAGGGAAGAGCCAGATATTCCAGAGCAGGGAGGGAAGCACACAGTCAGCTGAGAACTAATCCTGACTCAGTCTCTACAATGTGTTCCTGGTGCCACAGGAAAACAGTAGGTGGGGAAAGAAGCAAGAGGTCTTGCCTTTTCCGTCTGCGAGCCCGTCTCCTTCAGTCCCTTCAAAGCACCTCCCATCTCTTGGCTCCTCACCAGGTGAGCAGTGCTGTGCTCACCTGGCCCAGGGGGTGAAGTGCCTTGCTGCAAGTTGTGGGAGAGAAGACAGCAGAAAATAACTCTGGGTTCTTCTGAGCAAGGCGAGAGTACATCTGGTCAGGAGATAAGGGAGGGGCCGGGAGCGATGCCTCACACCTGTAATCCCAGCACTCTGAGAGGCCGAGGCGGGAGGACCTTTTGACCCACAAGTTCAAGACTGGCTTGGGCAACACAGCAAGACCCCATCTCCACAAAAATAATAAAAAAATTATCCAGACACGGTGGTGAGCACCTATAGTCCCAGCTACTCAGGAAGCTGAGGTAGGGGATTGCTTGAGCCCAGGAATTGGAGGTTGTGGTGAACTATGATCAGGGCATTGCATTGCAGCCCGGCAGCAGAGCGAGACCCTTGTCTCTAAAAACAAACAAACAAACAAACAAACAAACAAGAGATGGGGGAAGACTCTGTGAAAGCCATACTTCGTGAGATAGAGCCCTCTCCTCTTTTTATTTATTTATCTTTTTTTTTTGAGACAGGGTCTCACTCTGTCACCCAGGCCGGCATGCAGTGATGCAATCTCAGCTCACTGCAACCTCCATATCTCAGGCTCAAGCAATCCTCCTGCCTCAGCCCCCTGGGTAGCTGGGAGTACAGGCACATGCTGCCTTGACCAGCTAAATTGTTTTGTATTTTTAGTAGAGCTTTGTCATGTTGCCAGGGCTAGTCTCGAACTCCTGGGCTGAAACAATCTGTCTGCCTCAGCCTCCCAAAGTACTAGGATTACAAGCATTAGCCACCACGCCCGGCCTTACAGCCTTCTGCTCCTAACAATACCTTCAAGGCCATCAGTATCTGTCAACAAGCACTTACTGCATGCCCACCCTGTGCCAGAAACCACACCCCGCCACAGGATGCCAACAGGAAAGACGCAGACTTTGCCCTTTAGCCTCCAGACCAGAGGAGGCGGCAGATGAGCAAACATGCCATCACAGTGTCGTGTGAGAGGCTCTGGGAGCCCAGACGGTCCTGAAAACTGAGGCTGGGCACTCCAGGAAGGCTTCCTGGGGGAGGTAGCACTGAGTTATGAAGGACAGGTTTGAATTACCCAGGAAGAAAGGGGTGTGTGGATGTGAAAGGAGGGAGGTGGCGATGTCATTACACTGTTTTATATGGTCCAACACCCTTATCCATCCATTATTTCATCTGGTGTTACTATGATGCTGGCTAGAAAGTTCATAGATTATTTTCATTCAATGGACTGAGTGTCAAGGGGCTAGGATGGAAAACTTCCTCATCATTACAGCAAGAGAATCAGAGGCCCTCATTTGACAAGCACAGTGGTTATTGAAGGAATCTTCTCTATGGCTGATATCTCTATCTGTGATCTCTCTCAGTCTCCCAGAAACTTGGGAAATAGAAGGAACTTTCTCCATTTTATAAAAGAGGAAGCCAAGGTTTAGAGAGATGGACTTCATCGACACCCATGCACTTGATGGCTAGCAAGGACTCAGCATTTTAGAATACTTTCCGGATTAAAGTGAAAAGTGGATTAATAAATAGTGCTCCCAAAGTAGGGCTTTCTTTAGTCACATCTGCCTGCTATATACAGACTTAAGGGAGGGGTTGTTATTATTACGTACCTCGTTCACTCCCTACTTAATCCCAGCTTCACTATCACAACCCAGGAATATTAAAGACAATTAGATGGTTTTAGTTTGGCAATGGATAATTATAATCATGTCATTTTAGCAAGCTTCTCCTGTGACCACTTGACCCTATTTTTTTGTTTTTTGAGACAGGGTCTTGCTCTGTTGTCCAGGCTGCAGTGCAGTGGCACTCTCACAGCTCACTGCAGCCTCGACCTCTTAGGCTTAAGAGATCCTTCCACCTCAGCCTTCCAAGGAGCCGGGACTACAGATGCATGCCACCATACTTGGCTAATTTTTGTATTTTTTTGGAGAGACGAGGTTTTGCCATGTTTCCCAGGCTGGTCTTGAACTCCTGAGCTCAAGCTCTCTGCCTCTCTCAGCCTCCCAAAGTGCTGGGATTAGAGGGGTGAGCCACTGTGCTCAGCCTGACCACTGAACTCTAACTTGGAAGACATCACAGTGTATCCAATCACGTCCAGGCTTAAGCATAAGGCCAGCCTGACTTTTTCAGTGGGATTTTGAGCAGCGACTTAGAGAGGTGGGAAGTGAGCTTTGCCGGAGCCCCCTAGGCTTTCCAGGCAGTGCTGGTGGATTCTAGCAGATACAGTAGCTCCCAGGTAGACGAGCACATGTGCTCAAGGTAATTTATTTTCAGTAATCAGAGTAGACTGTGGAGACTTGTGAAGGATCTGTCCTAATTCAGAATATTGGTCTGTGAATTGGCTTTTAGAAAAATCAACTACTTTTAGAAGTTTCCTTGTAACTAAAATAGAGGTTGCTCTAGTATGAGGAGAAAAATCCTGGCTGCAAATTTGAGATGAAAGGGAAAATCACCATCCGAGTTCTGGAGTTGCCAGGATTTCCTAAGGACCTATGTTATTTCCTTTCTCTTTGAAGGCCTTGCATTGCTTTGTTTGTTTGTTTGTTTGTTTGTTTTGAGACAGGTTCTCACTCTGTCACCCAGGCCAGAGTGCAGAGGTGCAATCCAGGCTCACAGCAGCCTTGACTTCCCAGGCTCAAGTGATCTTCTCGCTTCAGCCTCCAAAGTAGCTGGGTGCGCAACACCACGCCCAGTTAATTTTGTATTTTTTGTAGAGACACGGTTTCACCACGTTACCCTGGCTGGTTTCAAACTCCTGAGCTCAAGCGATGGGCCTGCCTTGGCCTCCCAAAGTGCTGGGATTACAGGTGTGAGCCACCGCTCCCCATCAGGCCTTGTCTTTGGTTTCTAAACCTACCTTGTACATTTGGTTTTTAACAAATGACAACAAAGTTCCCTGAACCATAATCAAATGCACATGAACGCATTGGCCTGTGCGCATTCTTCCCACCCAGATCCTGTGCTCAGCTGATCTTTGGAGGGCCCACGCCCTCTCAGGGACTGGGGAGGCCCTGGGAAGGTCAAGGCCAGGCCCTTGCCCTGGAGCAGCATAGCCTAGTGGCAAACTCCTGCACAGCACCAGCAGGCTGTGAAGTAAAGAGAGCAGCCAAAGGCGCAACAGGAGAGGGAGTCCAGGAAACCTTAGAGGGTACCATCTTTGAGCCTGGAGTTCAACAGCCAGAGGAGGTAGCGATGGTCTGATAGTCCATGATTCTGCAGTGCTCTGTACAGAGAGCCACAAACGTCTTTCCTGTCCTTAGACAAAATAACTATTGTTCAACTAGCCCGTGATCTTTAACTACAGTGCAATAAAATTAGAAATGGCAAAATAGTTAAAAATAAGCCATGGCAGTCAGGCACAATGGCTCACAACTGTAATCCCAGCACTTTGGGAGGCTGAGGCAGGAGAATTTACTTGAATCCAGGATGCGGAGGTTGCAGTGAGCTGAAGTTGCGCCACTGGACTCCAGCCTGGGTGATAGAGTGAGACTTTGTCTCAACAACAATGACAACAAAAAACATAGAAAAGTATCTTCAAGATATTCAATTTGCAAGGCCGGGCACAGTGGCACATGCCTGTAATCTCAGCTTTGTGGGAGGCCAAGGTGGGTGGATCACCTGAGGTCAGGAGTTTGAGACCAGCCTCACCAACATATTGAAACCCCATCTCTACTAAAAATACAAAAAAAATAGCTGGGCATCATGGTGGGGACCTGTAATCCCAGTTACTCGGGAGGCTGAGGCAGGTGAATTGCTTGAACCTGGGAGGCAGAGGTAGCAAAAGGAATGCAGAATAGTATTAATTATTTTTAAATTAAGTATTATTATTTTTAATTATTAAAAATTATTATAAACTATTATCATAGTGTAATATTATATTTATGTTATATAAATTATATAGACATATATAAACATAACATTACTTATATAATAATATAAAATATTATTAGTAATTGTTATTTATTAATTATTTTAAAAATTAAGTATTTTTTAGACACATTTTAGACACAAAGATTTGTGATTAATAATTAATTTAAAAAATAATTAGGGGGCATTCCAAGATGGCCAAATAGGAACAGCTCCGGTCTGCAGCTCCCAACGTGATCAACACTGAAGATGGGTGATTTCTGCATTTCCAACTGAGGTACCTGGTTCAACTCACTGGGACTGGTTAGACAGTGGGTGTAGCCCACGGAGGGTGAGCTGAAGCAGGGCAGGGCGTCACTTCACCTGGGAAGCACAAGGGGTTGGGGGATTTCCCTTTCCTAGCCAAGGGAAGCCGTGACAGACTACCTGGAAAAACAGGACACTCCCCACCCAAATCCTGCGCTTTTCCCAAGGTCTTAGCAACTGGCAGACAAGGTGATTCTCTATTGTGCCTGGCTTAGTGGGCCCCATGCCCACGGAGCCTTGCTTACTGCTAGCGCAGCAGTCTGAGATCGATCTGCGAGGCGGCAGCCTGGCTGGGGGAGGGGCGTCTGCCATTGCTGAGGCTTGAGTAGGTAAACAGAGCGGCCAGGAAGCTTGAACTGGGTGGAGCCCACCACAGCTCAACAAGGCCTACTGCCTCTGTACTCCACCTCTGTGGGCAGGGCATAGCTGAACAAAAGGCAGCAGACAACTTCTGCAGACTTAAACGTCCTATCTGACAGCTCTGAAGAGAGCAGTGGTTTTCCCAGCATGGCATTTGAGCTCTGAGAATGGACAGACTACCTCCTCAAGTGGGTCCCTGACCCCCGTGTAGCCTAACTGGGAGACACCTCCCAGTAGCAGCCGACAGACACCTCATATAAGTGGCTGCCCCTCTGGGATGAAGCTTCCAGAGGAAGGATCAGGCAGCAATATTTGCTGTTCTGCAATATTTGCTGTTCTGCAATATTTGCTGTTCTGCAGCCTCTGCTGGTGATACCAGGGGAACAGGCTCTGGAGTGGAACTCCAGCAAACTCCAACAGACCTGCAGCTGAGGGACCTGACTGTTAGAAGGAAAACTAACAAACAGAAAGGAATAGCATCAACATCAACAAAAAGGTCATCTACAACAAAACCCCATTTGTAGGTCACCAACATCAAAGACCAAAGGTAGATAAAACCACAAAGATGGGGAGAAACCAGAGCAGAAAAGCTGAAAATTCTAAAAACCAGAGTGCCTCTTCTCCTCCAAAGGATCACAGCTCCTCGCCAGCAATGGAACAAAGCTGGATGAAGAATGACTTTGACGAGTTGACAGAAGTAGGCTTCAGAAGGTCGGTAATAACAAACTTCTCCGAGCTAAAGGAGGATGTTCGAACCCATTGCAAGGAAGCTAAAAACCTTGAAAAAAGATTAGATGAATGACTAACTAGAATAAATAGTGTAGAGAAGACCTTAAATGACCTGATGGAGCTGAAAACCGTGGTATGACAACTACATGCACAAGCTTCAATAGCTGATTCGATCAAGTGGAAGAAAGTGTATCAGTGATTAAAGATCAAATTAATGAAATAAAGCGAGAAGACAAGGTTAGAGAAAAAAGAGTAAAAAGAAACGAACAAAGCCTCCAAGAAATATGAGACTATGTGAAAAGACCAAATCTACATCTGATTGGTGTACCTGACAGTGATGGGGAGAATAGAACCAAGTTAGAAAACACTCTTCAGGATATTATCCAGAACTTCCCCAACCTAGCAAGGCAGGCCAACATTCAAATTCAGGAAATGCAGAGAACACCACAAAGATACTCCTTGAGAAGAGCAACTCCAAGACACATAATCGTCAGATTCACCAAGGTTGAAATGAAGGAAAAAGTGTTAAGGGCAGCCAGAGAGAAAGGTCGAACTACCCACAAAGGGAAGCCCATCAGTCTAACAGCTGATCTCTCGGCAGAAACCCTACAAGCTAGAAGGGAGTGGGGGCCAATATTCAACATTCTTTAAGAAAATAATTTTCAACCCCAAATTTCATATCCAGCCAAACTAAGCTTCATAAGTAAAGGAGAAATAAAATCCTTTACAGACAAGCAAATGCTGAGTGATTTTGTTGCCACCAGGCCTACCTGACAAGAGCTCCTGAAGGAAGCACGAAACATGGAAAGAAACAACCGGTACCAGCCACTGCAAAAACATGCCAAATTATAAAGACCATCAATGCTATGAAGAAACTACATCAATTAACAGGCAAAATAACCAGCGAACATCATAATGACAGGATCAAATTCACACATAGCAATACTAACCTTAAATGTAAATGGGCTAAATGCCCCAATTAAAAGACACAGACTGGCAAATTGGATAAAGAGTCAAGACCTATCAATGTGCTGTATTCAGGAGACCCATCTCACATGCAAAGACGCATATAGGCTCATAATAAAGGGATGGAGGAAGATCTACCAAGCAAATGGAATGCAAAAAAAAAAAAAAAAAAAAGCAAGAGTTGCAATCCTGGTCTCTGATAAAACAGACTTTAAACCAACAAAGATCAAAAGAGACAAAGAAGGCCATTACATAATGTTAAAGGGATCAATTCAACAAGAAGAGCTAACTGTCCTAAATATATGGGCACCCAATACAGGAGCACCCAGATTCATAAAGCAAGTCCTTAGAGACATAGAAAGAGACTTAGACTCCCACACAATAATAATGGGAGATTTTAACACCCTACTGTCAATATCAGACAGATCAATGAGACAGAAGGTTAACAAGGATATCCAGGCCCTGAACTTAGCTCTGCAACAAGCAGACATAATAGACATCTACAGAATTCGCCACCCCCAAGCAACAGAATATGCATTCTTCTCAGCACCACATCGCACTTATTCTAAAATTGACCACATAATTGGAAGTAAAGCACTCCTCAGCAAATGTAAAAGAACAGAAATGACAACAAACTGTCTCTCAGACCACGGTGCAATCAAATTAGAACTCAGGATCAAGAAACTCACTCAAAACCGAACAACTACATGGAAACTGAACAACTTGCTCTTGAATGACTATTGGGTAAATAACGAAATGAAGGCAGAAATAAAGGTGTTCTTTGAAACCAATGAGAACAAACACACAATGTACCAGCATCTCTGGGACACATGTAAAGCAGGGTGTAGAGGGAAATTTATAGCACTAAATGCCCACAAGAGAAAGCAGGAAAGATCTAAAATTGACAACCTAACATCACAATTAAAAGAACTAGAGAAGCAAGAGCAAACAAATTCAAAAGTTAGCAGAAGGCAAGAAATAACTAAAATCAGAGCAGAACTGAAAGAGATAGAGACATAAAAAACCCTTCAAAACATCAATGAATCCAGGAGCTGGTTTTTTGAAAAGATCAACAAAGTTGATAGACTGCTAGCAAGACTAATAAAATGAAAAGAGAGAAGAATCAAATAGACACAATAAAAACTGATAAAGGGGATATCACCACCGATCCCACAGAAATACAAACTACCATCAGAGAATAATATAAGCACCTCTATGCAAATAAACTAGAAAATCTAGAAGAAATTCCTGGACACATACACTCTCCCAAGACTAAACCAGGAAGAAGTTGAATCCCTGAATAGACCAATAACAGGCTCTGAAACTGAAGCAATAATTAATAGCCTACCAACCAAAAAAAGTCCAGGACCAGATGGATTCACAGCCGAATTCTACCAGAGGTACAAAGAGGAGCTGGTTCCATTCCTTCTGAAACTATTCCAATCAATAGAAAAAGAGGGAATTCTCTCTAACTCATTTTATGAGGCCAATATCATCCTGATACCAAAGCCTGGAAGAGACACACAAAAAAAGAGGATTATAGACCAATATCCCTGACGAAAATCCATGCAAAAATCCTCAATAAAATACTGGCAAACCAAATCCAGCAGCACATCAAAAAGCTTATCCACCACGATCAAGTTGGCTTCAGCCCTGGGATGCAAGGCTGGTTCAACATATGCAAATCAATAAAAGTAATCCATCACAAAAACAGAACCAATGGCAAAAACCACGATTATCTCAATAGATTCAGGAAAGGCCTTTGACAAAATTCAACAGTGCTTCATGCTAAAAACTCTCAATAAACTAGGTATTGATGGAACATATCTCAAAATAATAACAGCTATTTATGACAAACCCCCAGCCAATATCATACTGAATGGGCAAAAACTGGAAGCATTCCCTTTGAAAACCAGTACAAGACAAGGATGCCCTCTCTCACCACTCCTATTCAACATAGTGTTGGAAGTTCTAGCCAGGGCAATCAGGCAAGAGAAAGAAATAAAAGGTATTCAATTACGAAATGAGGAAGTCAAGTTGTCCCTGTTTGCAGATGACATGATTGTATATCTAGAAAACCCCATCGTCTCAGCCCAAAATCTCCTTAAGCTGATAAACAACTTCAGCAAAGTCTCAGGATACAAAATCAATGCGCAAAAATCACAAGCATTCCTATACACCATTAACAGACAAACAGAGAGCCAAATCATGAGTGAACTCCCATTCACAATTGCTGCAAAGAGAATAAAATACCCAGGAATTCAACTAACAAGGGATGTGAAGGACCTCTTCAAGGAGAACTACAAACCACTGCTCAATGAAATAAAAGAATTTACACAAACAAATGGAAGAACATTCCGTGCTCATGGATAGGAAGAATCAATATCGTGAAAATGGCCATACTGCCCAAAGTAATTTATAGATTAAATGCCATCCCCATCAAGCTACCAGTGACTTTCTTCACAGGACTGATAAAAACTACTTTAAAGTTCATATGGAACCAAAAAAGAGCCCACATTGCCAAGACAATCCTAAGCAAAAAGAACAAATCTGGAGGCATCATGCTACCTGACTTCAAACTATACTAAAAGGCTGCACTAACCAAAACAGCATGGTACTGGTACCAAAACAGATATATAGACCAATGGAACAGAACAGAGGCCTCAGAAATAATGCCACACATCTACAACCACCTAATCTTTGACAAACCTGACAAAAACAAGAAATGGGGAAAGGATTCCCTGTTTAATAAATGATGCTGGGAAAACTGGCTAGCCATATGTAGAAAGCTGAAACTGGATCCCTTTCTTACACCTTGAAAAATTAATTCAAGATGGATTAAAGACTTAAATTTTAGACGTAAAACCACAAAAACCCTAGAAGAAAACCTAGGCAATACCATTCAAGACATAGGCATGGGCAAGGACTTCATGACTAAAAACACCAAAACCAATGGCAACAAAAGCCAAAATAGACAAATGGGATCCAATCAAACTAAAGAGCTTCTGCATGGCAAAAGAAACTACCATCAGAGTGAACAGGCAACCTACAAAATGGGAGAACATTTTTGCAATCTACCTATCGGACAAAGGGCTAATATCCAGAATCCTCAAAGAACTCAAAAAAATTTACAAGAAACAAACAACCTCATCAAAAAGTGGGCAAAGGATATGAACAGACACTTCTCAAAAGAAGACATCTATGCAGCCAACAGACATATGAAAAAATGCTCATCATCACTGGTCATCAGAGAAATGCAAATCAAAACCACAATGAGATACTATCTCATGCCAGTTAGAATGGCAATCATTAAAAAGTCAGGAAACAACAGATGCTGGAGAGGATGTGGAGAAATAGGAACGCTTTTACACTATTGGTGGGAGTGTAAATTGGTTCAACCATTGTGGAAGACAGCGTGGGGATTCCTCAAGGATCTAGAACTAGAATTACGATTTGACCCAGCAATCCCAGTACTGGGTATATACCCAAAGGATTATAAATCATGCTACTATAAAGACACATGCACACGTATGTTTATTGCGGCACTATTCACAATAGCAAAGACTTGGAACCAACCCAAATGTCCATCAATGATAGATTGGATTAAGAAAATGTGGCACATATACACCATGGAATACTATGCAGCCATAAAAAAGGATGAGTTCATGTCCTTTGCAGGGACATGGATGAAGCTGGAAACCATCATTCTCAGCAAACTATCACAAGGACAGAAAACCAAACACCGCATGTTCTCACTTATAGGTGGGAATTGAACAATGAGAACATTTGGACACAGGGTGGGGAACATCACACACTGGGACCTGTTGGGGGGTGGGGGACTAGGGGAGGGATAGCATTAGGAGAAATACCTAATGTAAATGAGGAGTTGATGGGTGCAGCAAACCAACATGGCACATGTATACCTATGTATCAAACCTGCATGTTGAGCTCATGTACCCTAGAACTTAAAGTATAATAAAAAAAATTTAAATTTAAATTTAAAAAAAGAAAGAAAGAAAAGAAAAGAAAAAGAAAAGAAAAATATTATCTGGGATTTGTTTCAAAATAATTTGAGAGAAGGGAATAAACGGAGGAGGCATTGGTGGTTGGGTTGGTAGTTGCTGGGGCTAAATGATGGTGTTCATGGGATTGGTTACACTATTCTATTTTTGTGGATGTTCACAAATCTCCATAATAGAAAAGTTTTTAAAATATATGCTACACAGATATACCATTTCTCATCTATTTGGCAAAAATTCAAAAGCTTAACAACACACTATACTGATGAGGCTGTAAGAAAATAGAAACTCTTACATTGCTGGCAAGAATGCGAAATGGTAAAACCCTATTGGGTGAATCTGGTATTATTTAACAAAATCATATATGCTTTTATCCTATGATCCAGCATTCCTATTTGGTACTGTAATGTGAAACATTTTAGGTATGATAAGACTTCCGGACCATTATAATGTACATTATAGGATAATGTAAATATGTTGATATGATTAATTATATTTAAAATAAAAGAAAACATTTATTTGTTATTAGGAACCAAGACTTTCATAGTGAGAGAAAACAGGTACAAACAAAAAACAGAAGAACAAACTGTGTACAATACGTCTGAATTAGAAATACTATGAACTAAATAATTCCTGAAGATATGATAGTAATAGAAAATGACTACTTTGTAATCCCAATGTCTCACTGATTTACACAAGCATCTTCAATGGACACTAAAACCACTAGATGATATGCTGTTAGGAAACAGAATATTCATAGTCTCAAAATATCACCCCACAGTTTTGTTACTAATTACAAACAATAAATGTATCTTTACATTGGAGAGATCTTATAGCCCCCACCTTTACCAAATAACTTGGTATCTATTGAATCTAGAAGCTAGGTGCTAATGGATACCACCTCTCTCTAAACAAACCAAGTATGGTATGATTCCACTGACAAGAAATATCCAGAATGGGCGAATCCATAAAGATAGAAGGTAGATTACTAGTTGCCTAGGTACAGGGAAATGAGTTGTTGTCTAAGAATGGGAGGGTAAAGGGTTTCTTTGGGGGAGACACAAATATTCTAAAATTGATTGTGGTGGTGTCCACATAACTGTGAACACACTAAATCACACATTTTAAATAAGTGAATTATATGGTGTGATACCTCAATACAGCTTTTTTAAAAAAAGAAAAAAATTATTAATAAATAATGTTGCCATTTGTGTCTAAAAAATAGGTATACACTTGAAAATGAATAAAATAGCCCATAAAATTATACTTCAGAAGCTGGTAACAGTGGTTGCCTCTATGGAGAGAATCAAGGTGCCTGGGGCGCAGGAGAGGGGAGGGAGACTTACTTTTTTAAATTAAGGTATAATTTACATACACTGCTATTCGCCCCTTTTAGTATACATTTCCCCCAGTTTTGACAAATGCGTGCAGCCATGGGGGCACACAGCAATGTACATATAGACTGCTTCCGTCACCCCTAATTTTCTCCTGTCCCTCTATAGTCAAGCCGTGGCACCACCCTCAGCCCCCGACAGCACTGATCTGTTTTCTGTCCCTACAGTTTTGCCTTTTCCATTATGTCACATGCGTGGGCTCAAACAGATGTAGCTTCTGAGAGACTTTTTTCTGCATTTTTTATTTCTTGAATTTTGTTTTATGTGTACATATTATCTATTCAAAAAATAGGTAACAGTTTTGGACAGCAAAAATCATCCTTATAAATAATCCATGGGCTAGAGAGAAAACCCAGTGGAAATCATAAAATATTTAGAACTGAATGATAATGAAGGTATTCATGAAATATCATTAATGAAATAGGTTTTGATACTATTATACGTACTGGAAATATCAAAACCCATGGATGCAGCAAAAATAATATCTGGGGTAAAATTTATAACCTTAAGTATGTTGATCAGAAAACAAACACTGCCAGGCACGGTGGCTCATGCCTGTAATCCCAGCACTTTGGGAGGCCGAGACAAGCAGATCACCTGAGGTCAGGAGTTTGGGACCTGCCTGGCTAACATGGCAAAACCCCGTCTCTACCAAACATGCAAAAAATTAACCGTCAGTGGTGGCACGTGCCTGTAATCCCAGCTACTTGGGAGGCTGAGGCAGGAGAATCGCTTGAACCCAGGAGACAGAGGTTGCGGTGAGCCAACATCGCACCATTGCACTCCAGCCTCGGCTACAAGAGTGAAACTCCGTCTCAAAAATAAAAGAAAAAAAAATAGAAAACAAACATTGTATTTTAAAAGATGCTAATGTGTCCTAAAAAGCCAAACAAAGCAGAATAAATGCAAAGATCTAGAAGGATATTATTATGAAATAATTAATAACAACAAGAATAAATGGAGATAATAAAAATACATGTGATTTGTATATTGATGCACAAAAGCAACTTAGGGTGGTGGAATGGACATTGGACTTAACACATTTATGCCGGAGGTCACAAATTTTTTTGTGTGAAAAATCAGACCTTGGCGATGACCTTGAGCAGTAGGATACAAATAACTCCCACAAGCTTAGCGTTCCAATAGTAGAACACTAGGCATCAATAACTTAAGACCTCTGAGACTCAGTTTCTTCACCTCCCAAATGGGGATAAAACCTCCTTTTTCCCAGTGGTAGGTAGGACTTACACCAATAAGGATTTAGCCGACCAGGCGTGGTGGCTCACTCCTGTAATCTCAGCACTTTAGGAGGCCGAGGCAGGTGGATCACCTGAGGTCAGGAGTTCGAGACCAGCCTGGCCAACATGATGAAACCCCATCTCTAGTAAAAATACAAAAAATTAGCCAGGCGTGGTGGCGGGCGCCTGTAATCCCAGCTACTTGGGAAGCTGAGGCAGGAGAATCGCTCGAAACTGGAGGTGGAGGTTGCAGTGAGCTGAGATCACACCATTGCACTCCAGCCTGGGCAACAGGAGCAAAACTCTGTCAAAAAAAAAGAAAAGGATTTAGCCATGGTAGAGCCCTTCCCTCTCTGTGCCCCAGCATAGAAGGTAATTACAGTGGGGATTATGGTGTGCCAGTAGAGAAGTTTCTCTTTAAGGTTTAAGACATGTGTTCCCTTACCTGAGTTTCTTTCTTCTCTACTACTTCTTGAATCTTTCCTTTCTTCCTTCACTGTTGATCTACACTAGAGAGGTTCTGCAGAAGAACAACCTGAGGTCACTGAGCTCTAGGTCAGGCCAGTCAGAGTTCACACACCGGATTCGGAAACACCTTGAAATAAGAGCTAAGTCCTTGTATTAGAAGACCAAGACTTAAAACCAGATCTATCCCTTTTAAGCTGTGTGATCATGAACAAGCCTCTTAACCTCTTTGCGTCTTTGAGTTTAGTGTCTTATCTGTCAAACAGGATCACAGTAATGCCCATATCACAGAGTTGCCATGAGAATCAAATGAGGAAGCCGGGCATGGTGGCTCATGCCTGGAATCCCAGCTCTTTGGGAGGCCAAGGCAGGCAGATCACTTTGAGCTCAGGAGTTCAAGACCAGCCTGGCCAACATGGCAAAATCCTGTCTCTACAAAAAATACAAAAAATAGCCGGATGTTGGTGGCTCATGCCTGTAGTCCCAGGCTGAAGAACCACTTAAGCCCAGTAGGAAGAGGTTGCAGTGAGCCGAGATCAGGCCGCACTCTAGCCTGGGTGACAGAGTAAGACTCTGTCTCAAAAAAAAAAGAAAAAAGTGGTGACATATGGGAAAGTATTTTTCTACATTGTAAAGTGCTATATAAACGTTAGCTATTACAGTAATTAGTTTTATTAAAACTTGTCCACCAAAAGTATACTGAAAAACACTTCCCCTGTTCACACGGGAGGTCTGTGCCTGTGGCAGCTGGGATGGGGGTGGTGGCTATTCTGATTAGGCATCCCACCTCCTGGGCTGGCCAGCCAGCTGCCAGCCCACTACCAATACCTCAGCGAGTGTCCCAGCTTTTCAGTTACACAATTAAGGAGGGTCCAGTGGAAACTTTAGGGAAAGGATAAGGGTAAAGAGAAATGTTTCTTTTGTGTTGAAAACAAAATTATTACCCTTACCTGTGTTTCCTGGGTTCTTGGCTAGCCTGAAGAAGTAATTGTTATTGAAAGGTTAACAATTCAGTATGTAATTCTTTTTCCAAAACTTTTATAGACTAGATTACAGTGCTTTCCAAGAGAAGGAGAATGCAAACCATAAATGAAAGCTGTAAATGGAATTTAAAATGTTCCAGTAGCCCTTTTTAAAAAGTAAAAAGGAACAGGAACAATTAGTTTTCATGATATTATTAGATTTTATATAAGCCAGTTAATCTAAACTATTGCCATTTTAACATGTCATCAATATAAAAGTTATAATGAGATAATTTAGTTTTTTTCACAGTAAGCCTTCAGAATTTGAGATTGACTTACAGCTCATTCTAATTTGAATCAGCTGCATCTCAAGTGTTTCACGGCCACACGTGGCATGTGGCAATTTTATTGGACAGTCCAGGACTAGGACTTTGTAAGGCTTAGGGAAAGCCACTTCATCCCTGAAGAGGAGAAAACGCGGCTGGAATCTGAGTGGCTTCTTGTAAAGGATAGTCAGGGGAGAAAAGTGAGTTCCAGATTTGGGTTCATACAGTCATTCGTTCATCAATTATTTCTTGGGCACCAACTTTGTGCCAAGTGCTGTGGTCTTGGCTCTGCAGCCAGCTCATTTCATGACTTTGCACAAGTCACTTCCCTTCTCAGAACCCCAAACTCCCTGTTCCACCTTGGAGAAAATGAGGTTACCTGTCTATGAAGGAGAGAAATGTTTGTACCAGCTAGAGGAAAATGCCTCTAGAAATCATTAACAGTGGAGTTCTGAAAGGCCGGCAGCACCAACTGGTTTCATTGATTCCATGGATGAAGCTCTCACGATCCCATTATTATTATTATTATTATTTTATTTTGAGATAGGGCCTCACTCTGTTGCCCAGGCTGGAGTGCAGTGGCATGATTATAGCTCACTGTAACCTCAAACTCCTGGACTCAAACTCAGTCTCCTAAGTAGCTGAGGTTATAGGCACGTGCCACCACGCTTAGCTAATTAAAAAAAAAAAATTTGTAGAGACGGGGTCTTGCTATGTTGCCCAGGCTGGTTTCAAACTCCTGGGCTCAAGCGATCCTCCCATCTTGGTCTCCCAAAGTGCTGAGATTACAGGTGTGAGCCACTGGACCCAGCCCCCTTTATTATTAATGTCAAAACCAACCGACTCTGTAGGATTTTAGTGGAGGAATTAATCACACAAGTCTTATCCATGGAAACAGTGATTTATCATGCTCATGGCATCACCTGGGACCTGATTTCTTCACCAGTGTCTTATTGACCATCTTTCTAAAGGAGGGTCTAAGGGAGAACTGATGAAATAAGTCATAAATTCCAAGTGTGTTATACATGCTAAGTTATCATTCCTGTCTGTCAGTAGATTTAACTGTGGGGAGATATCCAGGAGGTTTTGCAAGGAGGGGTGCTAGGGCTTAGTACTCTCATTATATCTCAGTACAGATGGAAATAAAGTTACATCTGTAAACCTGTAGGTGGCCATGACTTTGGAATGATTGTAGCTTAAATAGGAAAAGTAAATAGAGTTACCCTTCCTAGGAATTGGGCAATATTTGCCATACAGCTGGGCTGTCAGGTAAAATCAGTTTTCAACTTCTGTGCCTGGAAAATGATTCTACATAGGTATTTAGAAGCGTTGTACATAGATATCCAGAAGTGTTAGAAACTCTTTAAATAGATAACAATCATAAAATCAGATACCATCACTTGTGGTTGTAGCCCAAGCCGATGTTAGTAATCTGGATGCATGGGGACATGCAGATATGACAATCGCTAATGCAAGTTCAGGTGGTAAGCACTGAACAAACCCCTGACATTGGTACATGGTCTTTTCATTCTATAATGTGTTTTCACAACATTGTCTCATTGAAGCTTTACAACAGCTTTGCATAGTGAGTAGGCTATAGGTTATAATCCTCATTTTACAGAGAAGGAGCTGGAGGCTCATCAGTTAAGTAACTAGGTGAAAGTTATGGCACTAAAGAATTGTAAAGATGTTTGTATGAGTGATGATTTCTTTTTTCAACAGCTTTGGGGTACAAATGGTTTTTGTTACATGGATTAATTTTATAGTGGTGAAGTCTGAGATTTTAGTGCACCTGTCGCCGGAGTAATGTTCATTGTACCTAATATGTCATTTTTTTAAACCCTCTCCACTCTCCTTTGGAGTCACCAAAGTCCATTATGTCACTCTGTATGCCATTGCATCCTCATAGCTTAGCTCCCACTTACACATGAGAACATATGGTATTTGGTTTTCCATTCCTGAGTTACTTCACTTAGAGTAGTGGACTCCAGCTCTATTCAAGTTACTGCAAAAGACATTATTTCATTCTTTTTTATGACTAAGTAGTATTCCGTGGTGTATATGTACCACCTTTTCTCTATCCACTCATTGGCTGATGAACACTTAGGTTGATTCCATATCTTTGCAATTGTGAATTGTGCTGCAATAAACATACACGTGTAGGTGTCTTTTTGATATAATAACTTCTTTTCCTTTAGGTAGATATCCAGTAGTGGGATTGCCAGATTGAATGGTAGATCTACTATTAGTTCTTTAAGAAATTTCTGTGATTTTTTTTCTTTTATTTGTATTTTGTTTTTGTTTGTCACTCCACATCTTGCTGCCTTCCTAAGCTTCCCCACTACAGAAAAAGGGCCCTGATGCCTTATCCAACTTAGGACATGTGTGGAGCTTCTTTGTGTCTAGAGAGGTCCTAGTAGTTAAGCAGACTTTCAGCTGACTGATGAGAACTCAAGCCGAGAAGAAGGCAGGCCTCCATGGTCTCACAAATAAGTAGACTTCTCGGTAGGGACAGGACAGGAGGAAGAAAAAATGGCTGTTCTTGTTTATTTCCAGTACTATCAGCCACAAAAGGAGTGGGATCATTGCTCAGAAAGACTTCCCTACTACTGGACACAATGGGCTTTATTAGAAGTGGAAAAACATTCTAGATCGCATCTTATAAATAACAACCCCTTCTCTTCACATTGCACTTCATAATTCACAAAGCTTTTTTACAGATATAACTTAATCAATTCGTGCATGCATCAATTTCATAAGTTAGAGAACTGTCTTGCACGCAGTGCTTTGTGCATTGTAGGAAATCAGGTATTTGTTGAATAAATGAATGGCTCAATCTCCATTTTGCAGACGAAAAAACAAAGGTCCAAAGAGGCTGAGTGATTTATCACAGTGAGGGAAGCGTGACCAAAACCCGTATTTTCTGAGCTCAAGTCTGATTATGCTCCTATATAAGTTTTTGGACAGGCACCACAGAATATTACTAGGGGAAATAGTCACACTTTCCCTGAGCAGCTTCTCAATAAGTAGGGATTTGGGGGTATCTCAGGTCTCACCGATCATTTATATTGCTGTAAATTAAATCATTATTCACTTTCTCTAGAAGAGATGGAAAAACACCAAATTAGCATTCCACTTCCCAAACAGCCCGGCAGAGTGAAGATGGCAGTGAACAGTAGCCAAATTTCTAATTTTCTCATCAAGAAATCAAAGCAGAAGGATTAATCTGTGAGCCACCAATCACAAATATAAAATAATGCCAGCTTGGTAAAGAAAGTGGAAAACATTATATACTGAAAACCCCCCAAGCAGCACCTGGTATTGAAATCCCAGCCTAGGAGCCACATGTCTCAACAGAGAAGAGAGCTTCTTTATTCTTCAGGAATTTCAAGACTGAAAAGATAAATTAGAATCTCAAGAAATGGTTTCAAGGGTGTTTATTACTAAAGCCCCTAAAATAGGAATGACAGAGTCAGTGGTGAGGGAAACGATGTGGGTTGATGAATCCAGAGGTGTTTGGACGAGTGTACAAATGGTCTTAGAGGAAGGAAGGCACTTCTGGACAACCTCTGCTGGGAATGGCAAGCATCTTCCTATTAGGCATTTTCCAGGGTTCAAGACTCCCATTGAAGAGGAGTTTTTTTTGAGACAGGGTCTAGCTCTGTCACCCAGGCTAGAGTGCAGTGGTGTGATCTAGGTTCACTGCAACTTCTGCCTCCCAGGCTCAAGCCATCCTCCCACCTCAGCCTCCCCAGTAACCAGGACCACAGGTATGTGCCACCATGCCTAGCTAATTTTTGCATTTTTTGTAGAAAAGGGGTCTCCTTTTTTGCCCAGGCTGGTCTCAAACTCTTGAGCTCAAGCGATCCGCCTGCCTTGGCTTCCCAAAGTGCTGGGATTGCTGGCATTAGCCATCGCGCCCCACCAAAGAGGATCTTAATGAACCATCTAACATAACACTCCTGACTCTGGCCAGTCTGCCAATTGTCTCCAGAACATTTCCGTCTCTGTCATTAAGCCTCCATTTGTCCTTCTGGGGTAGTAGATAAATCATTATACTTGAAGTACTATTTCCCTTTATCCGAGTTCTAGAAGGTGTTGTCCTTAGGTTTAGCCCAAACCTACTCCCAGGTACTTCTATCTGGGAGCCCATTCCAAACCAAGCTAACCCCTCTTCACTGTCACATATTTCATCAACCACAGGAGACCATAACCATGATGCTCCCATTTCCGGCAGCTACACATCTCCAGCCGGAGGGTAATGACTTAACACATTCCCAAAAGAATGGGGTTTCCAGATCTGTTATCATCATGGCCATCCTTTTGGCCAAGTTTCTGGACTGAAAGCTGGACTCCAGAGATACTCTGAACGGCAGAGGGCACTTCCTCTAGGATGGTTACTTAACACCCACCTCTGCCCTCAGAAAAATGCCCACTAAGTAAGGAGGAAGTGCAGGATGGAAGGATGGTCTCTGCTTTCAGGGACGGATGCTTGAGAACTGCTAGGGCCCATGTGCTGGGTTGTCAAGGCAACAGGCAGCACCATTTCAACACCTCCGCATTGTAGCTATGGGGCCTGGCCCTGGTCCATGCTGCAGCTGTAGGCCCAGCAGTGGGTGAGGGGCCATGCTCTCCAGAATCCCTCAGGGCAGGCTGATGCTCCCTCCCTGCAGCTCTCAGAGCAGCCCCATCAGGCCCACTCTTGCCCCAGCAAGTTTTTGTAATTTACACTCTGCCAGCAGCAAGGCCCACCCATCCTGGGTTTTGAGTCTCCTGAATGCAGGTTCTATAACCTCCAGAGAGAAAATGTGCCCAGTAAGTGTCCAGGGGCTAAAAGGTTGAGATAGCAGAGCACGGGCGTTGAGAGGAGAGGATGTGTGGTGTCAGCGGTGCTTTGGTCTTTGACTTCAAGCTCCTCCCTGGAGCATACACAGAACTTTACAGCTAAAGGAAACATTCCAAACCCAACCTCCTTCTTCTTGTAGGTGAAGAGACAGGCCCAGAGAAGAGTACTGACCCACCCAAGGGCACAATGTGATGTACACACAGAGTCTACCTATACAAGGACCCAGTACCCACCTCCTGGAATCTGGGGCAGCTAGTGTTGCTTTTCTGAGATCTACTGTGAGGGCTCCTAGGAGGAGGGCACAGGATGTGGGTGCTTCCCCTCCTCCACCTATTTCCCACGTATGGGATGCAGGCTCACAAATGCTACATTTTGACTTCCCGCTTCGGAGAGCTTAAGTGCCACTCTGAGCATAAACTGTGGGTTAGCAAGAGATCAGGCACACACACCGGACATGACCACAAGGCCATGAAGGCAAGCCCTTCCAGCTTCACTTCCCCCACTTGTAACATGGTCTGGGTTAGCTGGTCACTGAGATCTCTTTCTGCACGGACATTCTGCGATCATTCTGTGGTCAGGCACCTCAGGAATCTCTTTAGCCTACACTGCAGAGAGATTTCATCCAATGGTAGCAGAATTAAAAAGGAATCTGTATTCATGCCAATTGCTTCTTTTACTGTCACAAGAGGAAGAAGAGTTTTGAGGATGGGACTGGTCTCAAAATGGCCCTCCTGTTTATGATGGATGTGTGGGTGAGGGGGCAGTTATTTCAGATGCTCAGGAAACATGCTGGCACCTCACAGGAGCTGACATCCTGTGACCTGCACAGTCCCCAAGGAAGGCTTCCCTACCCCCTTAAGCCTGGTTCAGGTACAGTCCCACGTGCAGCCCCAGTCTTAATGCCACCACCACACTCCCAGGTGGTGGCCTCTCCACTGTATCTTGTTATGATGTCTTGTTTACCCCCAGACCTGGCACGTGGTAGGTATTTACTGCATTCTTTAATGACTGATGAAATGAGCAGAGTCTCTCTACTGGGACAGGAAAGCAGGACAGGAGTGAGGTTGTGGTGTGTTTGGAAATATGGTGCTTTAGCTTGTCATATCACTTGGGCGGGTCTCCTGCCTCCCTTTTTATATGTAAAATAAAGGAGTCTGACAGATAAGTGTTTTCCGAACTGTTCTGTAAAACACTAGTTTCTTGGATATTTTGCAGCCAAAACAAACAGTCTCCCTGGGTAACTGGGGTGATGTGACACACTGTAACTCCTTCTTGGAGATTCATATGTGCATTTGAATATTAAAGGCTCTGAGAAGGCCTGCAGTAAAGACATCTATCTAATTTCATTTAGGCCAAGTTTCTCCAAAATTCTCTGGCCTCCCTCTCCTTATATCTGAGGAACTGGTGTTCCGAAGCATACAACTTGGGAAATACTGAACTAGACAATTTCTTTCTTTCTTTCTTTCTTTCTTTCTTTCTTTCTTTCTTTCTTTCTTTCTTTCTTTCTTTCTTTCTTTCTTTCTTTTTTCTTTTTGGAGACAGAATCTTGCTTTGCCACTGAGGCTGGAGTGTAGTGGTACCATCTCGGCTCATTGCAACCTCTGCCTCCCAGGTTCAAGAGATTATCCTGCCTCAGCCTCTCAAGTAGCTGGGATTACAGGCATCTGCCCCCATGCCCGGCTAATTTTTGTATTTTTAGTAGAGACACGGTTTCACTGTGTTGGCTAGGCTGGTCTCAAACTCCTGACCTCAAGTGATCCGCCCACCTCGGCCTCCCAAAGTGCTGGAATTACAGGCATGAGCCACCACACCTGGCCTTTGAACTAAATAATTTCTAAGTGCCCTTGTAACTATGTTTCATCCATAGAGGAGGTGGCCTGGTATAGTGAAAACAGTGTGGACTTTGGAATCAGTACTGGGCTTAAATCTTGGCTCTGCCTTTTAGTAGCTGTGTGGCCTTAAGTAATTGATTTAGATTTCCAGAGTTGGATTTACTAATCTGTAAGATGAGCCTAATAATACCTGTTTGTTATGGTTGTAGGTTGTTGAGAGTATTAGATGAGGTAACAGATATGAAGGATCAACAGCAGTGTTTGACAAACAGTAGGCCCATAATAAGTATTAGTTCCTTTGCTCTATTACGTCTAACGCTCTACTTCCACCCCTTACCTCTACCACCAAACTCAGAGTGGACTGTTGGCAGGCAGAGAATGCAGCAGGGAGGCAGACTGAGTCCAGGTCCTCACATGGCCCTAATCGTGCTCTCTCAGTTTCACGGAAGGACCACACCCCAGCCTCCTCTTTGGTAGGGGGACCAAAGGTGAAGGGGCCAAGGGGGAGGTGGCAGAGAATCCTTCCCTCCTTTGCCAAGCGAATGTGTCTTCTCTGTGTCTTCTCTGTGCTAGGCAACTAGATGGTGTTAGTAACAAGAGAAGATAAAAGGATGCTTTCAAACTTTACAGAATGAACGCCCTCTCTCATAAATCCACTACCTAAAATAGCAAGCCCCAACATGAGGGCAAAGCCTTGGCCTGTCTGCCTGGGCAGGAAGGTAGCACAAAGGTGGGATCTGACGGATGGTGGAGTGAGAAGGCAGGGTTAGGAACCTGAAAGGGCAAGGCTTAGAAAGGCTTCTAGGAGCCTTGGCACCAGCAGAGCCATGGCGGGGGGATCTGCGCTCAGAGCAAAGCCACCAGTTGGCAAACACAAATCAGTCTCCAAGTTCGCACCACACAGGACTTGTTTGTGGTGGAGGAAGCAAGACATCTGCCAGGGAGGCAAGAATGGATGCTGGGGCTTGGCTTGTTGCAGGGCCTGAACCAGTGGGCTGGATCAAATGCATTGAACCTCTGTGGACGGGTCTCATTTTTGTATTACTCTTTTTTTTCCCTTCCTTCCACTTTAGGGCAATATTAGAAGAAAGAATGCAGGGGCGGGGTGTGGTGGCTCACGCCTGTAGTCCCAGCACTTTGGGAAGCTGAGGTGAGTATATCACTTGAGGCCAGGAGTTCGAGACCAGCCTGGCCAACATGGTGAAACCCTGTCTCTACTAAAAATACAAAAAAATTAGCTGGGGTGGTGGCGGGCGCCAGTAATCCCAGCTACTCCGGAGGCTGAGGCAGGAGAATCACTTGAACCTGGGAGGCAGAGGTTGCAGTGAGCCGAGATCGCACCTCTGCAATCTATCCTGCGCACCAGAGTGAGACTCTGTCTAAAAAAAAATTAAAAAGAAAATAAAAAGAAAGAATGCAGGCCTTGGAGACAAGAGTGGTTTTAAGTCTTACTCTGCCTTTGCTAGTTTTGTCTCCTTGGGCAAGTTACTTAACCCCTCTGAAGCTTAGTTTTCTCATGTGTAGGATGAGGAAGATAATTTCTACTCAGAGAGTAGTTGCAGGGACCGAATGAGTTATTGCTAGTGAATTCCAGAGTGTGGCACGTGTAACCCAGACACGGGGGCAGACATTTTAAATTCTAATAGTCAATGTTTAGTTTCATAGGCATTAGAAAAATAATTGACAAACCAAATCATTTTATGAATGTTATTGATTAGTGCAAGACTAAAGTAGTTAGGTAAGTTAATTAATTAATGTATTTATTTATTTTGAGACAGAGTTTCGCTCTTTCACCCAGGCTGGAGTAAAGTGGGGCAATCTTGGCTCATTGCAACCTCCATTCCCTGGATTCAAGCGATTCTCCTGCCTCAGCCTCCCAAGTAGCTGGGATTATAGGCACGCACCACCTCGCCTAGCTAATTTTTGTATTTTTAGTAAAGATGGGGTTTTGCCATGTTGGCCCAGCTAGTCTCGAACTCCTGACCCCAGGTGATCCACCCGCCTCAACCTCCCAAAGTGCTAGGATTACAGGTGTGAGCTACCGCGCCCAGCTGGTAAGTTAAAGAAAAAAGGGAAAGGGAGTTAATTTAAAGAAAAACTTTAAGTTAATTATGATGTAGCTGGTGGGCAGATGTGGCAAAACTCAAGAAGGTGCTGTGTGAATGACTAAAGTACAGGAAACTGAATTAATACCCACTCAATCATGGTGGCTGGTTCGTGGCAGGCACTGAAGGTCATTTCCAAGAAAGTAAAGAGGTTTAGAAAAGGAAGGGAGGGAATAAGGGAGGAAACAGACCTTCTTAGTTGTCTACCTACTTAGCCTGTAGGTCCACTTCAGCCATACTCTTCTTCCAGAGGTTCCCTTTTTGTTTTTTCTTTTTAAAAATATTTTTTAATTTTATTTTATTTTTCTCTACTAGGTTAGCCAGGCATGATGTCATGCACTTGTAGTCCCAGCTACTTGGGAGCCTGAGGTGGGAGGATTGCTTAAGCCCAGGAGGTGCAGATTCCAGTGAGCTGAGATCATACCACTGCACTCCAACCTGTGTGACAGAGCCAGGCCCTCTCCCAAAAAAAATAAATAAATAAAAATAAAATAAAATAAAATAAAATAAAATAAAATAAAATAAAATAAAATAAAATAAAATAAAATAAATAAAATAAAATAAAATAAAATAAAATAAAATAAAATAAAATAAAGGGTATACGGTGAAGAGTCAGTCTCTTTTTTTCCTTAACAATTAGGCCCCTAGGTTCCTTTCCCAGAGAAAACAACTGTTAACATCTTCTTTTAAATCTTTCTTTCTAAGTATATGCAAGCATAATTGTGTAGGAGCCTGTTTTTTTCAAAGCTCTTTTGATGAGAATTTATATCTAGAATCCTAAGACTTAAAAGTGCAAGGAGGGGGATGCGTGAAACACACTAAGATCATCTTGTTCAGAGATCTCAGTGAGAATCAGAAAATGCGTGGAGGTGGCCACACTCATTGACAATCTATGTCTAATGAAAGATGTTTTTGTTTTGTTTTGTTTTAGAGACAGGGTCTCATTCTGTTGCCCAAGCTGGAGTACAGTGGCATGATCATAGCTCACTGCAGCCTCAAACTCCTGGGCTCAAGTGATGCTCCCACCTAGGCCTCCCAAAGCATTAGGATTACAGGCATGAGCCACAGCACCTGGCCTGAGAGGTGTTTCTGGTGAGCACATATAGAACATGAGATAATGTGAAGGTTGAAGCAAAGGCTGAGACCTACTGACTTAGGCCAAACCATTTCCCAAGGTCTCCAAATGAGTTAGTGACAGACCCAAGAATCTAGTCTAGCTAGACTCTAAGTTCTCAGGTATCTAACTTGCTGCCACAGTTTTACCAAGATGTAAACATTCAGGACAGAGACTCTGAGCCAGAGGAAGTCCTCCCAGCCACTTTGCTACAGTGTAGAAGGTCAGGAGAGACCAAGTGTTTGGGGCCTGTTGAAAGTAGAGAGTGGCTAGGAACTTATCTGGTCTCATATTGTAAGGAACATAAAGGAATAATTCCATTTCCTTTCATGTTTCCTGTGTACAAGTCCTATAAATATTGCCATATCTCTAAGAGCAAACCTTGTTTGGACTTTCCAGACTTTTGCTTTCCAAAGAGGTGACCAGAGACGTTTCCCAGACATCCTCCACTTCCTGTTGTTGTCCACACTGTCTTCCAGTAGAGAGGGTGGTAGCATCATTTGAAGTCACCCTTCCAGTTTCAAGTTATTTATTTACTTGTTGTGAAGGCCCATGTTATGCTGGGACAAGCCTTGGGCCTCTGAAATTTATAGCTGTCTTTATGGATGCATGAAACGAAGATCTAAATTTACTGCATGGGAAATTCCAACTTTGTCCTTGAGACTTAAAGAGCCTTTAGTGTTGGATCCATCTGGTGAAGACCAAAATTTCTAATTAAATCCAGCCAACAGCCAATACATTCTCAAACTATTAAATAATTCACTAAAGTCCTCTAGTGCTGAATCCATTTTTATTTACCTAATTCAGTATGTAATAAGATAAAATCAGAATGGAAAATGCATACTTTGCACTTTTTCATAGCTGCCTTATTTGAAAAGATATGGAAGAGCTTGGTAGTAAGCATGACAGTAGGTAGGTGCGGCAGGAAGTGAATCAGGGAGGTGGCGATATGTCACCAAGCCCTTTGTGTATGCTGCTCCCTGGACATACTCACATTGCTGCAGGAATGCCTTTTCTCTGATACAAATCCCTTTCCCTCCAATTTCTTTTTTAGAGATGAGGTCTCGCTCTATCGCCTAGGCTGGAGTGCAGTATCACTATCATAGCTTAGTGCAGCTTTGAACTCCTGGACTCAAGCAATCTTCCTCCCTCAGCCTCCCGAGAAGCTGAGACCACAGGCTTATGCGACCAGGCATGGCTAATTTTTTTTTTTTTTTTTTAAAGGAGTCTCACTCTGTCACAGCCCAGGCTGAAGTGTAGTGGCATGGCCTCAGCTCACTGCAACCTCCACCTCCCGGGTTCAAGCATTTCTCTTGCCTCAGCCTCTTGAGTAGCTGAAATTACAGGTGTGTGCCACCACACCCGGCTGATTTTTGTATTTTCAGTAGAGATGGGGTTTCACCATGTTGGCCAGGTTGGTCTTGAACTCCTGACGTCAAGTGATCCATGCACCTTGGCCTCCCAAAGTGCCAGGATTACAGGTATGAGCCACCACTCACACTCACCTGTCTTTTTGCAGAGACAGGGTCTTGCTATGTTGCTCAGGCTGTCTCGAACTCCTGGCCTCAAGCAATCCTCCCACCTTCGCCTCCCAAAGTGTTGGGATTATAGGCATGAGCCACTGCACCTGGACTCCTCCAATTTTTGTTTATTCATATCTATCTTTTAAGGCCTGTCCCAAATGTCGTCTCTTTCATGAATCTTTTATCAATTCAATAGGTAAACCTACTGAGCCTTCTTGCATATTTTAGTCACATACATTTTGCTTTCATCTCTTCTTTTCGGTTGTCAACTCTTTAAAGGCAAGACCATATTTATCTTATTTTATATCTTTATTTTTGGCACAAATCTGGTTTTATTAATAGTTGTTTAGAAAAAGAAAGAGAAAACTTACTTTTCTTTCTTGTTACATAACTTATGCATATTTATTATAAACCACTAGAAAATACAGCAAAACAAAATCAAGGAATACAAACCATTTGTATTTTGTTGCACAACATTCTATGCTTTTAAAATTCCTACATTTGCCATAAAGATATATCAAAACTGGATCATACTACAAATAAACTTTTTAAATCTACTTTTTATATTACAACATATTATTAATGTTTTTCTGTGTTAGTATCATGTTTTTAAAAGGGAAATATGTTTTTTCTCTGATTATAAAAACATGTCCCCATCATAAAAAAAGAGAAGAAATGTAGAATTGCATACAGAATCAAATAAAAATTATGTCTTAATCACACCACATAGACCACTGTTCATATTCTAATAAATATGAACTAGATACTTTTTCCTGTGGAGCAGGTGTGTGTGTGTATCACATCAATACATATTTATTTAAATATCTTCATTTATACATGCAATTTCTTGTACAAAGATATTGTGAACATCTTTCAGTGTCAAATAATTAAGATATCTATATATTTTTAAAGTATCTGCATAGATTATGTGTGGATCTGTCACACTTTAATAAATTTTTTATTATTGATTGCTTACATTTTTCTAAAATACTTCTTTAACCAATGTTATGGATCATCCTAGTATATGCATTGGTAAATTTACACTTTTCAGGATTTAATACAAATTGCTTTCCATAAAATGTGTTGTTTTAAATTTCCCCAAATGTCTAAAGAGAGCTTTAGCCTATAACGACATAATAAACATAGAGTAGTAGGATGAATGGACTCCAGAATAAATAGTTTTCCTCTCCTTCTACTCTTTTTTTTCTTTGAGACATCAGTGGAAAATCTGTTTACTCATCAGTTACCTTGGGAGAGGAGCCACTAGAGGTATGGCCTGGGTAAACCAACTGCTTTTTTGATGTTTTGTTTTACTTTTTGTTTTTTGTTTTTGAGATGGAGTCTCGCCCTTTCACCCAGGCTGGAGTACAGTGGTGCAATCTCCGCTCACTGCAAGCTCTGCTTCCTGGGTTCAAGCCATTCTCCTGTCTCAGCCTCCCCAGTAGCTGGGACTACAGGCGCCCGCCACCACGCCCAGCTAATTTTTTTTTTTTTTTTTTGTATTTTTAGTAAAGATGGGGTTTCACCGTGTTAGCCAGGATGGTCTCCATCTCCTGACCTTGTGATCTTCCCGCCTCGGCCTCCCAAAGTGCTGGGATTAGAGGCGTGACCCACCACGCCCAGCCAGCTACCATGCTCAGCCTTCAGTTCTCTTGTCACTTTAGTAAACTGAGAAAATGGCTCGCACAGGAAGCACCTTGTTCTGAATCTACCAGTGGGTGAGCCGCAGGGCGTGGGTTAGAGAGGGATCCTGAGGCCATCAGACTCCCAGCTCTGCCTTCCCCATTCATTCACCACACTCCCCTGGGTAGCCCTTCACCCTTTCCCAAACCTTTCGATTTCTTCATAAATTGCGTTTATACTCAAGCGGCTTATACTATTTCTGATGGCAAAAACAAAGCCAAGTACGATATGTACAAGTTGCTGTAAAGCATGCAGCAGACATGTGGTTTAATCATTTCCCCCCACTAAAATTTATAATTGTTAGTGTCTAACATGAGGTGAAGGAGAAGGAACATGAAATTTGGAATCCAAAAGTTTAAATTTGAGTCTAAGAACTTGAAACCCCTAGCATGCCGTACAACAAAATACAAATGGTTTGTATGCTATGATTTTGTTTTGCTCTATTTTCTAGTATCTATAATGAATATGCATAAATGACATAACAAGAAGGAAAAGTAAGCTTTCTTTTTCTTTTTCCAAACAAGTATTAATAAAATAATACATTGTCTTTAAAGAGCTGACAACCTATCTGGGCATATACTTTCTCCCTGTAAAATGGCAGGTATATTCATATCTGCTTCCTGGGAGCCTTGTAAAGATCAGATAAAACGGTGAGTATAAAGCAAGCTTTGTACTTATTGTACAAATGCTTAACTATGTTAACAACAACATTTGCTGTTATTGATCATGTTGAAAAATATTTCCCTAACCTTGCATACCTGGCCCCATAGGACTTTCTAAGATGTGTTTCTCAAATGAAAGAAAGGAAGTGACTAAAATGACATAGCAGAAAGAACCATACACAGAGAGCTGGAAAGCCTGCATTCTCATTCCAGATGATTTGGACATTAGTGTTTTCATGGGTAAAAGGAGGAAGTTGGACAAAATGACTCCTACACTCTCTTCCGGCTCTGGGATCCGGGTCAGTTATTCTGTGAACTTGGGCAAATTTTTTATTTGTAGACCTGGGTTTCCTCATTAGTCAAATGAAGAGGTTGGGTTGGATGACTTCTCTGGTCCATTTCCTTTCTGAGAATTTACACAATCCCAGTGACCTGCCCATTGTCATTGCTGTTCTCTTTTTTTTTTTTTTTTTTGACACAGAGTCTCGCTCTGTCGCCCAGGCTGGAGTGCAGTGATGCGATCTCGGCTCACTGCAACCTCCATCTCCTGGGTTCAAGCGATTCTCATGCCTCAGCCTCCCGAGTAGCTGAGATTACAGGCATGCGCCACCATGCACGACTAATTTTTGTACTTTAAGTAGAGACGGGGTTTCACCGCATTGGCCAGGCCGGTCTTGAACTCTTGGCCTCAAGTGATCCATGCCCCTCAGCCTCCCAAAGTGCTGGGAATACAGGCGTGAGCCTCCGCACCCGGCCCTCTGATGTGCTTTTATGCAAGCCACAACTTGGCCCTCCAGGTTGTGGCCTCAGAGACCACAGACAATAGGCTGTGGCTTTTCTTCTCTCTGTTTGGTTTTTCGGCTGCGTGGTCACAAATGGCCTCGTGACAACTTGGCAGTTAACCCAATCCTTCCAACCAGAGGCCTTAGGTGTTGAGCCAGGGCTGCACACAGCTATACCTTCCTGGTTCCTGAGGATT
The DNA here is from genome assembly GCF_000001405.40 of Homo sapiens. Lineage (NCBI taxonomy): Eukaryota > Metazoa > Chordata > Mammalia > Primates > Hominidae > Homo > Homo sapiens. Next base: position 2,289,770 of record NC_000020.11, read on the forward strand.
GAGTGTCCCCTGCGCGCTTAAAGCTGGAGCCAGACGTATGCAGCTTTTTCCCGCTGTCCCCAGGCACCGAGTACTCCAGATAAACTCATTGGCAGCCTTTCCCCAGGAAGGGCTCCATCCGCTCCTCCCTCACTCTCCCTCCTGCCTGGGATGCCTCTCTCTATGATCTTTTCCTTGAGTATTTCCCTAAAATGCCTCCCCCTCAATAAACAGCCCTTTCTTATCTCCATAATCACCATCAATCTCTCCTCTGAATTCTTATCAGTTTGTCTTTTAAGCTCTCTTTCTTCTTGTCTGTCAAGGACTCGGGGTCTGTTAACGTACACAGTGCCTCATACTAGCAGGCATTCTACGAAACGAGCACTGCCGTGATTTATAAGGGACTTGTAGACGTCTATTCTTCCTTCAGGGTTTTATTTTGTTTTATTTGTTTGGGCCTAAATGGAAAATTTGGGCATAAACACATTAAAGTTGAGGCTTTGATATGAGTCCCCAAGGGGCCCTGCCTCCCTGTTCAGCCCTGAATTATGAATATCATCATCACCAGGATCCGTAACAACAGTCTCCTAAACAAAAAACCCAATTGTGAGCCTCCCAGAGGCACAGGTTTCACTGAATTGAAGGATTCATTAGAGATAGTGAGGCATAGTAGTTAAGACCAGGGCCTCTGCTGTCAGAAAGAACTGGGTTCAGATCCTGTTGTGGCCACTTGTAGGCTGTGTTACAAGTTTATTAGCCTCTCTAAGCCTCTGGTTTCTTATGTAGAAAATGGAATGCTAATACCTATACCCTAGGGCGGCTTCACATTGACCAATGTGGAGCTCTCAGCACAGAGCATGGCTTCAGGAATGGTGGCCCACCACATGGACACGTGTATTCACCTCCCGGAGCACCTTGTACTCTGAGGGTGTTCCTAGGAATGGCACTAATAGAGTTAGGCATCTGACAGGTGGCACAGGCATGTTTGAAAGGCTCGGAGGTAAGAAGTCAATGCATTTTGTCTTTTACAAGGGGCTTTTACCTGTGTCATCTCATGATTCCACACGACACTCTACAGGGTGGGCAGGACAGGTATCATCATGCCCATTTTTCAGAGGAGAAAACTTAGGCTCAGAAAGGTTGAGTGACTGGCCCAGTGAGGTGGTTCATACAGCTAGACTGTGTCCCTGAGACTTAAACCTGGGTTTGCTTGTTTTGCTACAACTCCTCTTTCCACAACAACACACTGGGATGCTCAAGAGGAATGGAGCTTTGCTTTGGGACTTGGTGACAATGAGACCTGCATACATAAGGAATAGGGTGGCTGTCCCAGGCAGGAACACTTTACAAACAGGTGTACAGTGAGGGAGCATCATGTTGGGCTCCAGGAGAAAGAATTAGACATGTATCACTGAGCAGGGGAGTTCATGTAAGAGTAGTAGAAAATGGCTGGGTGTGATGGCTTCTGCCTGTAATCCCAGCACTTTGGGAGGCTGAGGCAGGTGGATCACCTGAGGTCAGGAGTTCGAGACAAGCCTGAGCAACATGGTGAAACCCTGTCTCTACTAAAAATACAAAAATTAGCCGGGCATGGTGGTGGGCACCTGTAATCTCAGCTAATCGGGAGGCTGAGGCAGGAGAATCTCTTGAACCTGGGAGGCGGAGCTTGCAGTGAGCCAAGATCACGCCACTGCACTCCAGCGTGGGCGACAGAGCGAGACACTGTCTCAAAAAAAAAAAAAAGTAATATAAAATAATGGAATTAAGATTGAACATATTCTGAAAGGTCTCAACACCCAAACTAAGGAATTGGGGCTCTATTAGGCCATGAGGAGCCACTGAAGCTCCCTTCCCAGAGGAAGGACATGGCACAATCCACAGGGCAACAGATAGTTGAGGACAACATGGTGGCTTCCAAAACTTGACTCACCAGGAATGGCTGAAGAAACTGAACGTTTGACCTAGAAAAGTGAAAACTTTTGGGAGGGAAAGAGTATTTGCCAGACTTGGGGGAGAACACAATCATTGTTGGACCAAGGAAAAGACAGCTTTGTTTTATGTGGTCTCTGTGAGTGTCTAGGGGAGCAGTGAAGGTCAGTGGGTGAAAGCTCTAGGGAAATAAATGTTCAGTTCAAATAAGGAAGACTTTTCTGGTCCTTTTAGTGCACTTTAACCCAAGTTTTTTTATTCATTTATGTGTTTGTTTTTTGTAAAGATGAGGTCTTACTATGGTGCCCAGGCTAGTCTCGAATTCCTGGCCTCAAATGATGCTCTCACCTCAGCCTCCCAAAGTGTTGGGATGACAGGGGTGAGCCCCTGCACCTGGCCAAACCTGAGTTTTGTGAGAGCCCACCTGCAAAACACTGGGAGGGAACAGTGACTGGTACAGACAAAATCCCTGCCCTCCTGGAGCTCATATGAAATGGGGGGAAGATAGGCCTTAAACAGAACCATCCTAGAAATTAATGTTATAGCCAGAGCTTCTCAAGTACAAGTATTGGCTGCTTTGAGAAGTGTAAAATCCATCCAGGCACAGTGGCTTACATCTGTAATCCCAGCACTTTGGGAGGCCAAGGCGGGTGGATCACCTGAGGTCAGGAGTTTGAGACCAGCCTGGCCAACATGGTGAAACCCCATCTCTACTAAAAATACAAAAATTAGCCAGGCGTGGTGGCAGGTGCATATAATCTCAGCTAGATGGGAGGCTGAGGCAGAAGAATCGCTTGAACCCAGGAGGCGAAGGTTGCAGTGAGCTGAGACTGTGCCATTGCACTCCAGCCTGGTCAAGAAGAGTGAAACTCCCATCTCAAAAAAAAAAAAAAATCCCCCATCTTAGGAGTTGTCAAGAGACATGTGTCGTGCTGGAAAGGGCTGGATGATTTCTCAGAAGATTCTCTGTCTCTACACATGTTGTGAAATCTTCAGCAACCCTAAATCCCTTAATTAGAGGGAGAGAAAAGGCAAGTGATCAATTGGCTTCTTTTAAAAGCCCATATCTGCATGCTTCGTCTTCACTGCGGTCTGAGGCGCAGAGTGTGGCCAAGCAGGAATTTCATCCTGTGTGTAGCTGGGTGGCTCCACCTATGAATTGAAAATCATTTAGCTGAAATTGTGACACAGCTGCAAATTACAGTCTGCCTGCAGGCTGGGGCTGTGGCTGCGGCCATGGTGCAATCCTCCAGTACCCAACATTAAGTAACTCAGGGCAGACTCTTACTGGGGCCCTACTGCTGGTCAGTTGCAAAGACTACAGGCAGCTTGGCTGGAGGAGCTGTGGAGGGTAGAAGGGAAGCTGGCTGTGTAACACTAGCCTGTCTACAGAGGAGCATCATACCCGCAATGTCACCATGGCTTTCAGCCTCATGACAGCCCTGGAAGGTGTGTGCATCATGCTGATGAGGATACCGAGGGCCAAAGAAGTAAAAGAATTCAGCCAACATCACACAGTGGACAAGTTCCAAAGCCTGGCTTTGAATCCAGGTCTTTTGACTCCAACTCAGGGGTCTTTTTACTACATTACTCTGGGATCAAGACCAGCTACAGACCCTCCTAGAGAAGACCAGGTGGTCAGTGGTCGGACACCACTGTCCAAACCCGTGGGACCCCTTGCAAAACCTGTGGCACTCGGGGCCTTTCAGGCTAATAATATGATTTTTTTTTTTTTTTTGAGACAAGGTCTCACTCTGCCACCCAGGCTGGAGTGCAGTGGTGCGATTTCGGCTCACTGCAACCTCCACCTCCCGGATTCAAGTGATTCTCGTGCCTCAGACTCCCGAGTAGCTAGGATTATAGGCACGCACCATCATGCCTGGCTAATTTTTGTATTTTTAGTACAGACAGGGTTTTACCATGTTCCCCAGGCTGGTCTCAAACTCCTGACCTCAAGGTCCCACCTCGGCCTCCCAAAGTGCTGGGATTACAGAAGCGAGCCACCGCACCCGGCCAGGCTAATAATATAATATTATTAATACTAACTTTTTACACTGGGCTGTGCCCAGCGCCGTGCTGAACCTTTTACACTTGCTGTCTCCTTTGATTCTCAGAGCAATTCCACTCAGTTTTACAGTTGAGGAAACAAAGCCTACGAGAGGTGAGGAGACTTGGCAGAGCCAAGACTGTGTGTCTTCAGGTTCCCTTTTAAGGGGAGCACCACCTCCCTGTCACCTCTGCAGCTTTCCTTGTCAGGTCATTGAAAGGAGTGCCCGGGGTCTGATTTTCCTTGGCTCCCAGGCCAACAGCAACAACCACAATAATAAGCAAAACCCCTCCTTTCCTTTAGACCACACACAGAAGCATACAGAGCACTTTCACACCCATTCATCCCATGCCATTCATGGAGCTGTCCTCCAGCTTTCTGGCAGGATGAACTTGGCGTCATGAGGCCTCGCCCAGAGTCACAGCTAGTGCCCGTGGTAGGAGCCAAGACCACACATGAGTCTCCTCTTGGGTCCAGGCTCTTTCCATGTCCCTCTCTACCCTCTGCTCTTTTCTTAGTCATCTGCCAGAGCCAACAGTGCATCCCATTCTGCCTGGCATGGGTGCACAGCCAGCTGTCTTAGAGCCCCAGAGGCCTGGGAAAGGCTGCCTCATTTAGGCGCTGACCTCCAAGGTTAAGCAAACACAGGCTCTGGAGCCATTTACATATGGGTATGAATCTCGTGGTTGGAGACTCAGGTTAATCTCTCTGTCCCCCATAAGATGGAAATAATAATAGCCCCTTTGCATAGGGTTGCTATGAAGATGAGAAAAGCTAATATATGTAAAGTGTTTAGCCAGTGCCTGCCCACAGTAAACACTAAATCAATTAGTTATTATTAGTAAGCACTAAATCGGTAGTTATGATTCCCATCTTTACAGTGATATTGATTCACTTATTCAAGAATGTGCATGTTCCAGCCACGTGTCAAGCCCTGTGCTAGATTCTGAGAAGAAGATTTGAATGATATGCAACCTGTACCTTCAAGGAGCTCAGTCTGGAGATGGGGACATATATAAACAGATAGTTCCAGTGCAGTGGATACATACGGTAATAGAGGTTCTAAGATGTACAAAAGGCTGTAGGGGCCTAAAGGACGGAGAAAGGACACTGATTTCTCTTTTTCAATTTTCCAAGCCACCTGCCTATTCCGTCTTCTCTTTCTCGAGATCAAACATTCTCACTTCTCTCTAAAGACCCAACCTTGTCATCATGGTGCTCAATCTTCCTTCCACACTGTGATGCTGGGGAAAGCCTTGGGGCATTTCTGTTCTCTCGTGAATCCTTGAAGCCTCACTTTAAAAAATATATACTCACTCCTTTGTCCATCGTAAACCTTGATATTTGTAAATATCGATAATAGGAACTTTGAAAAAACATACGCCCTTAGAAACAAGCAAGCAAACAAAAACACGTAGAATGTCAGAGCTTCTCCCCACTCCACACCCTTTCTTTAAACTGATGTCAAGGTGGGCCCAGTGAGGGTCAGTGACGGAACCTGCAGTCTGAGAAAGACATGGCAGAAGCATAAGGTTAGAGGCTGTTCCTGCTGCCTCATTAAAAACAACAATTTTCCCCCAAATCTGGACTGAAACTGACATTCAACGCCAAGTGTGATCTCAGTTTAACCTGCCCTGGTAGATATGCATACACTTCCCATGCGCACCATCTCATGTGATCGTGTCCACAGCTTTGTGAGTTGAGAGGGGTGGGAGTGATTATCCCCAACCACAAGCAAGGCTTCCGGGCTTCAAGGGTTGGAGACCACCCAGGGCTCGGCCAGCATCAGAACCAACGGCTTCTAATTCCAAATCAAATGATGGTTTATGCCACACTACAACCCTAAACAAATGAACTGTGATGTGTCTCACTTCCCTGTGCAAGTGGAAGATGCTAATACATGTGTATCATGAGAAAGGACCTCACAATTTTCTTCTTCTGGGTTCTGCTGAGACGTTTCTTTGATTCAGAGAGAACTTCCCAGGATCAGCAAGAAAAGCATGTCATCATTTCCTAAACCCTACAATCCAGGAAATAGTCCATCATTTTATAAAATTATAAAAGCGAACTATTTGAGTTTCTTTATTATCTGCCCCCTTCTCCCCAAGCTGGTCTTGTACAAACATGATGCACGTCCATTGGGTGACAAGTCTGTCGTAAGTGAAACGTTTACAGGCACTACAGGAATGACCTGGTGCCTCGCCCACTTCATTAGAATTCTAATTGGGGTGTGTAGGAGAGGATTCTATAAATGGTAAGGCAATCCTTGGCAGCCTGTCTGTCAGCACTGTCCGTGCCATTCCCAGAGGAGCCTGAGAAGAGGCAGAGGAAGGCGAAACATGGCTGGTGAGTGCATGGCATCTTCTCCATCAGGTCCTTGCCAGAAGCCTGTGCTTCCCCTGGGCCAGCCTGCCAAGCCAGAGTGTCCGGCCAGGACAGCTGCCTGCCTTGGGGGCTCTGAAGGCCAGACTTCCTATTTTAGGGTGCTAGCCAGAGGCGGCTCTTTCTCAGTGGTGGTTGGGTCCCTCTAGCATATTCTTGGGGTAGAACATCATTGGAATGTAGCTCTGAATAATGGGCAGGGTGTTCAGTGCAGCTGGACATCGCATCTCCTTAGGCAGAGGACAAGCTTTGCCTTGTTTGTGTTTGCGTTTCTTTTACACATCCGTCGCCACCCGTAAAGCCAAAGCAGACAGGACTCGGGTCTCGTGTTTCTCAGTGTAGCTGTATCCAGCTGTCAGCAGTGTCAGCAAAGAAGCACATCTCAGAACTACCAGGGAGTGAGAGTGGTAACATGTAAGTTGATTTGAAAGAAACCATTGTTTATTTCAAATCAACTTACTTAGGAGCATTAGGAATGCTCCTAAGTAAGCTACACATCAGAAGCATCAGACAGGCTCTGTGTAAGTGACTTGATGAGCTGAAGCCTCCCCGTAGCAGGAGCAGGTGTGCCACAAGATGTCCTGGTCCACAGGAGAGCACCAGGGAACAGGGGTTACAAAGAACAACAGGAAGTGCAGGTTCCCCCACTCTATGCTTACTGTCGAGGATATGGGCCTTTGTTAATCAGCACCCCTGCTAAGCAGCATGCTAATTATTATCTGTCTTGTGTGCTCAGCCTAGTAGGTTGACAGGGACGCCAAATCCAAACAAGATATGAGTCAAACTTGTAAAATATTGTGAATGGCGATTAGGGCTGCTGGAAGATTGGCCAAAGACATCACTGAGCCAAATGCAACAGGCAAATGCTGGCTACTTCAGAAGCCACAAAAACTGGGACAGGTGATTGCACATTAGGCCCCCTCCCCTGTCTCCCATTCCTTGCTGTAATGTACAGCATGGCTGGGATGCTAAGAAGAGGAGCTCTGGACCCTACACACTGCAGCAAGAGGGGAGGTCAGATGTCATCTAGCCCATCTCCCTCCCTCCAGGAGGTGGCTGAGGCCCAGGAAGGGGTGGAACCTTACACACAGTGAATCCATCGCAGAGCCAGCTAGGTCTCAGCAGTGCCCTTTCCACCATGTCCTGCTGCCAGAGCTGAGCTCCTACATAAGTGCACATAACATCTGGAACATAAAAAAGCAATTCTGAACCTGGCTTCTCATTTGAGCTTTGTGACCAACTGCTTGTGTGTTCTCTGCCACCCCTGAGCCTCAAGTTTTCAAGATGAAAGCTTTGAAATGAATGCGTTTTGAGGTTCCTTCCAGTACCGACTTTTCTTTCTCCACAAAAAGAAACCAGAGCCAGGGAGTGGACAGGCACGTGCCCAGCCCCCAGGAATGTGCACCTCCCATCCCTGTGCAGGACCTCCCGTGGACTCTCAGGAATGGCCTGCCCGCTGTGAGGCATGATTAAATGTCTCTGTTAACAACCAGAGATGTTCTAAAGTCACAACAGAATGAGGCTGGTGGGGAGAAAATCAATTTTGAAAAGGTGGTGGAGAGACAGGCGAATACATTCAGTCCCTTAAATTTGTCCCACTTGCAGTTCCCAGCTCAGCTCCGAGTCACTCAGCCAGGAAGTTCCCAATCAGTGTTTCTTGGATGAATGAATTTATTCACTGAACACCTAAGGGAGAAGAGCTGTGCCAGGTGCAGTGGGAAATATGGAGGTGAATGAGATGTGGTTCTGTCCTCGGTAGCTTTTAGTCTGATATTTTTTGGTACCACCGGTTTTTTAGGTGAGCAGCATGCAAGGCAGACTGTTATTAAGCTGCATGACAAATACAAAACAAGTGCTACGGGGACCAACAAGAGAAGGAGATTAGTCTTGTCTGGAATTTGGGATAGGGAAGACTCTGAAAAATGGTCACAGACAATGAGTTGGACTTGGTCTGGAGAGGTTTTGCAGGGCAGAGGGAACAGGAAAATAAATGTCAGTGTGAGCAGGTGTGACCCAGGGGACTATCGGGATGACAGGTGTGCTGCTTTGAGAGGACTCTGTGTCCAGCTCCTAATTTAAGGTTCTTGTTGCAATCAGAAGGGGTTCCATTATTCCACCCCTTGGTGGAGAAGGCAGCCTGGGCTGTGGCTGGAAATGAAGGTAGTGGAGGAAGGCCTGGCAGTGATCCGCACCAAGTGGCCTGGCATCCCCAGAGTGGGTGGGAGAGCAGTTTGTGAGCACAGAGGAGGGCCCCAGTGTGGAGGGGAGGCAAGATTCCCCATCCCCAAAGCCACTTGGAAGCCCTGGGTTAGTGGCAGAGTTCTCAGGGTACACACCTGAACCACAGGCTTCTGCCTGCAAATGACCAGAACCTCTGTTTTGGGGACTAATGGCTCTGTCCCTCTGGGGCAGTGAGCTTTCTTGCCAACTACTTTTCCAGGCAGAGCACTGGCCTTGGCTTCAGGGACTTCCCATCTCAAGGCCTCATTTCCTCCACCCCCAAAGGACCTGTACCATTCCCAGCGTCTGGGTCTACCACCAAACCGTTCTCCTTGGAGCTGGGACACCAGTCGCCCCTCCTCCCATGGAAGCGGTCAGGAATTGCTCTTGGGTTCTGGCCTCCTTCTCTTCTGTAAATCTTCTAGGTGCTTCCTGGACCCTCCTCATATTTTTGTGTCTGGCACTGGGACCAAGGCAATATCTACTCTCTCTCTCTCTGAAAAGGAGATGGCCCCTCTGGGCTCAGAGTCTTGTGACTCCAGCTGCTCATTGTTTGAAATGAGGACCAGCTGCCTCCTGTCTGCCCGGCTCCATGGCCTTCTTCCACCTGGGACAGCGGCTACTCCCTGTTCCTTAGAGACAGCCCATGAGCAGCTTCATTCCACCGGGAATGACAGCTGCCCGTATTTCAGCGTTTGTTCCTGTAGGATTCCTTACAGGATAGCTGATGGGTTAAGAGTGCAGGTTCAGAGGTGCTCTCTGGATCAAGGCTCCACTCTGCCCCTTACGAGAAGAGTGGTCTTGGGCAGGTCACTTAACTTGTGTGTCTCAGTTTCCTCATCTCCAAAATGGGGTTATTGCAGTATCCACCTCATGGGTGCTTACGATTACCTGGAAATTTTTTCATGAGCCTGTTTTCTCCTTGTCTTGGGGGGACTTAAGAAAAACCCTATGAGAGGAATTACATTTTCTAATCAGGGGCGATTCCCAGGGGACCCTCTCCATTAAGCGCCTCAGCACAAGTCCTCCCCACTCCCGCTTCATCCATTCCCAAGTCCAAAGTCCTCATGCCTGAGCACTCCCCTTGTTCACCTCAAGTAACTTCATGCGGCTCCACCCCGCAGGGCTGTCTCTGCAGATGGAGCAATCATTCTCCTCCCCAGGGCCCACGTGCCAGGCTGGGGTGTGTGCTGAAGTTAGGAAATCTCGCTTAGCAGTGGAGGGCACAAGGCCCTAGGATCTTGGTAGGAGCTGAGAGATGGGAGTCAGAAGGAGTCAGCCTTCCCCTCCCTCAGCCTGATTTTCCTTATTTGTAAAAAGAGGACAGCGACTCCTCCCCTGCCTCCTTCCTATAGCTGCCGGGTGGCTCTGGTCAGGTAATTTATGTGAAGGAGCTTTTATAAGTGTAGATGATAAACGGGCCTAAGGTAGTGAGGTCTCAGTCCCTGCTGCACATTAGAATCACCAGGAAAGCTTTAAAGAAAATGCTGGCCGGGTGCAATGGCTCACGCCTGTAATCCCAGCACATTGGGAGGTCAAGGCGGGTAGATTATCTGAGGTCAGGAGTTCGAGACCAGCCTGGCCAATACGACAAAATCTCATCTACTAAAAATACAAAAATTAGTGGGACATGCTGGCACGCACTTGTAGTCCCAGCTACTTGGGAGGCTGAGGTTACAGTGAGGCAAGAGAACTGCTTGAACCCAGGAGGCAGGGGTTGCAGTGAGCTGAGATCACACCACTACACTCCAGCTTGGGCAACAGAGAGAGACTCCATTTAAAAAAAAAATAAAGAAAGAAAGGAAGAAAGAAAGGAATGGAGGGAGGGAGGGAAGGAAGGAAGGAAAAGAAAGAGAAAGAGAAAGAAATAGAAAGAGAAAGAAAGAAAGAGAAGAAAGAAAGAAAGAAAAAAAGAAAGAAAGAAAGAAAAGAGAGGAGAAGAGAAGAGAAGAAAAGAAAGAAAATGCCAGTGTCATCCCTAACCAAAGATTCTAATTGAATTTGCCTGGGATGGGTCTCAGACCAATAGAACATTCCAGGTGATTCTTCTGGGCAGCTGGGGTTGAGAGCCTCTGGTCTCAGAGATTCTAAACTCTCTCTTAGGAAGAGAAGTCCTTCTGTCCTCTCCTTTTGCCCTGACCATAGGGTGTCTAGGCAGGGAGTAGGCTGTGGATGGCCCCTCCAGGACCTGTGTCTAAGTCATTGCTGCCTTGGTTGGCTACAGGGCGGCAGCTTGGGGTCATATCTGGTCAGGCAAAATTGACTTTCAGTCTGGGCTTGAGTCCAGCCTCTGCCTGAGTGTTTGATATTGAGTAAGTGACTTCACCTGACTGGACTTCCAAAGCCCTCATCTGTGAAATGGGGACAGCAACACCATTTTGATAGTCAGTATTTCGTGACTATTAAAAAACATAACGCAGGTGAAATGCTTAGCTCAGTGTCTGACACATAAGAGGTCCTCAATAGCAGCCCATTAAAAGCTCAAAGCCTCTTCTGCTCTTGGGTTGTTTTTGCCATTACATATGGGATCCCAACAGTATTAGTTTCCCCCAATCTCTGGGGGCCCCGGTGCTAGTGATGGGTATATGTTGAATCCCAACAATAACCCTAAGAGAGAAGATGTTCCAGGTCTCACTGTCCCTCTTCTACAGGTGAGAAAAGTACAATTCAGAGACATTGAGACCCTTGCTCAGGGCCTCTCACCGGTTCAGGCACCAATCTGGGGCTCATTTCTCTTCATCCTCACCAGCCCCTTACTCTCCCTGAATGCCAAGAAATTGTGCCACCTGTGCTGCACAGAGCTTGAAAATGTCATGATATGTGGGGGAAGTTAAAAGGAAATGACACAGGCTAGAAAGAGAGAAAGGAGAGAGAGATGGGTGCTGAGCAGGAAAGCACGTGTGTCCTTGGAGCCAGAGGAGGGGCCAGCCAGGAGCTAAAGATGTTCCCAGTGTCTAGGGGTGGGAAGTGGGATGACTCACAGCCTGTCGGTGACCAGGATCTGAGACCCGGCTTCTGGGCTAAGATCTGCTTCAACTCCGTGACTTCCCCTTTCATGAAGGGGAGATGGCTTCCCATTTCAGGGCCTCAGCTTTCTGACCTGTCATGTGGGCATACTAGATTACATCACTGTTTTTCAAGCTGCCAGTTGCCATCCATTAGCAGGTTGTGAAATCAGTTTAGTGGACTGTGACCAGCCATTAAGAAAAAAAAAAAAAGCAGAAGAGAAAATATCAGAGTATATTGATACATAGTAAGCATTAGCCGTGTGAAACCTTGTGTCAGTTCCAGATCCATGTATGTAAAGACTATTAGATAGATTTCTTGATTTGGCTTCTCTCAATAGAGCTTAAAAACCACTCAGCTAGATACTTTTTAGCATTTTTTTTTTTGAGACGGAGTCTCCCTCTGTCGCCCAGGCAGGAGTGCAGTGGTGAGATCTCAGCCCACTGCAACCTCCACCTCCCCAGTTCAAGCCATTCTCCTGCCTCAGCCTACCAAGTAGCTGGAACTACAGGCATGTGTCACCACGTCCGGCTAATTTTTGTATTTTTAGTAGAGACAGGGTTTTGCCATGTTGGCCAGGCTGGTCTTGAACTCCTGACCTCAGGTGATCTTCCTGCCTCGGCCTCCCAAAGTGTTGGGATTACAGGTGTGAGCCACCGTGCCCAGCCACTTTTTAGCATTTCTGTCAGCCCTCATTAACTCTAGACTTCTGTAAAATAAAAATGCATCTATGTCTAGAGAAAAGGTGTGGGAAGTAGAGTCTGGTTGGGGGCTAGGGATAGTCCCAGCCACTAGAGTAGCATCACTCCATGTTGGGCCCCCTGTCAGCCCCTCTGTGGTGTGGTCCTCCCTGGAACAGGAGATGGGAGCCCCATCACACACCCAGCGACCAAGTCATTCTCACCCGTGTGCTGCAGGTGATTCAATTATACAGCCAGGCTGACAAGGATTGAGACGGCTGACTAGCAACTTCCCTTTCACAGTCTGGAGTCTTTCTCTGTGCTTTTCATGTGAAAGAGGGACCACAGAATAAATGGGCAGGGGTTATATTAACATATTTGTGATTATGTTTGGCTGTGATTAACAGTGAACCCCCCCAAAAAACAATAGCTTAGAAAAATAAGACAGAAGCTTATTTCTTCCTTACACGAAAGGCCTGGAACCAGGCAGTTCTGGGCAGGCCAGGTGGTGGCACCATCCTCAGGCCCTAGCTCTGTCCAGTCTCCTCTCCACCATCGCTAGGGTACGTATGGCCCTGCATGGTCTAAGATGTCCGCTAGAGGCTTGTCCCTGTCACACCCACACTCCAGACAGCAGAATGGAAGAAGAGGAAGAAAACAGGCAAAGGGCATTTGCCAACTGTTTATATAAAGAGGTTTTCTAAAAAAAAAAAAAAATTTAAAACAGGTATTCAAACAAATATTACCATGTGCACATTCATAGCAGCACTACTCACAGTAGCTAAAATGTAGGGACAACCCAGATGTCCATCAGCTGATGAATGCATCGACAAAACATGGAATATTCATATAATAGACTCTCATTCAGCCATAAGAAAAGAATGAGCTACTGATGCATCCTCCAACATGACCGAACCTTGAAAACATTATGCTAAGTAAAATAAGTCAGACCCAAATCACATATTGTGTGGTTCCATTTGTTAATTTATGAAATGCCCAGAATAGGGCCGAGCGAGGTGGCTCACGACTGTAATCCCAGCACTTTGGAGGCTGAGGTGGGCGGATCATTTGAGGTCGGGAGTTCGACAACAGGATGGCCAACATGGCGAAACCCTGTCTCTATTAAAAATACAAAAAAATTAGCCGGGCGTGGTGGTGCATGCCTGTAATCCCAGCTACTCAGGAGGCTGAGGCAGGAGAATCACTTGAACCCGGAAGGCGGAGGTTGCAGTGAGCCAAGATCGTACCTCTGCACTCCAGCCTGGGCGACAGAGGGAGACTCCATCTCAAAAAAAAAGAAAAGAAAAAAAAGAAAAAGAAATGCCCAGAATAGGCAAATCCACAGAGACAGAAAGAGTTGGGGTTGGCAGGGGCTGGGGATAGGCGGAAATGGGGAGTTCCTGCTAATGGAGTTGGGGGATTCTTTGAGGAGTGATGAAAAAGCTCTGCCACTAGATAGTGGAGATAATTGCATATTGTGAGTGTACTAAATGCCCCTGAATTGTACATTTTAAAATGGTTTAAATGGCAATTTTTATGTTGTGAATTTTACCTCGATTTTTTAAAAGAGAGAGTTCCTGGAAGTTAATACCTGTAACTTCTGCCAAAAGCTTTTGGCCTAAATTTACCCCATGGCCACCGAGCCAGAGTGGAGCCTGGGAAAGTAGTGCCTGCACATATGGGGGATTTCATTACCAGGAAAGAAGGAACGAGTGAACGTTGGGATAGATATTTATCTGGCAGTCCACCACATTAGAATTGCTGCTGGCACTGATGTTCTCAGGAAAAAAAATCTGGGAAATTGCCCCAGGCCTGACACTGGAGTTAAGCATTAACTCAGGGAGGTGGCACGGAATCAGAGTTTGGAGATGTCACACTGTGGGCAAACCACCTCTCTGGCCTCCATGTGCTCACATCTGGAATAAAGGTTAGGAGTATGTGATTGTTCTCTAAGGTTTTTCCCGCTGATGTCTTTTAAGTGTGTACGTTGATGAGTCAGTTATAAGAATCATGCGACTCCTGTCTCTTCTTCTCCTCCCTTCACCCAGACTGTGCAGAAGACATAAGGTGCAGAAGACAGCCCTGAGGCTCGTAAATATACAAAAAGCTGTAAACCTGAGAACCTTAGACAGCTGAGTACCTTCCCCTCCTCTCCTTTCCTACACATTCTGACAGGGTGGGCTGTGATGAGTGACATGTCAAGGGCTTTGGGATTGGGGAGACAGGATCATTGGATCCTTGAATTGGGGGCTGGCAGAGCAATCCTAGGGTTAAGGGACAGGACGATGACTGAGGGAGGCAGCCAGTGAAGGGTTCAGAACCACACTGGAAGCTTGATGAGCACGCTCTCAGCTGGCAGCCCCTACTCAGGGATGCGGGGCAGGCTGTCCCCTTTGTCCAGCTCCCCTGAAGACGGCTCTTTTGGAAGAGATGTTTTCCTTCCAGGAGCTCGCTCTCTCCCCTCTGTCGGAATCCAAATGCTAGCAGGTGGACGATGCAGCATGAGGGCCCCTCACCACTTAGGGCACCTTCTGGACTCAAAATCCTGCATGAGACCCTCTTCCAGAAGGAGGTTTCGGGACCACAGTGACAGGGTAGAGTCAGTAAGTCCTGGTGAAAAGGAAACACCATTTTTTCTTCCAGACTACTCTTAATACTTCTTAACCGCCAAATGTGTGGGGTTTGTTCTCATACCAAGCGATTTGCAGTGGACACCCACCGGGTGTCCTACCCTTCAACTCAATTCTCACACTGTTTGGAGTTAGCACACAGCCTACAGGGAGTGCACACACCCCTCAGTCCCACAACACTGCCCCCACTTCAGATGCCAGTGCTTCAGAAGTTGTCACCTGTGCTTCTGACTGACCAGATTTAAATCGGGAGTTCCCACCAGCCCATTCTCAGGTTTGAAGATTTGCTAGAACAGCTCACAGGACTCAGGAAAACAGACGACCAGCTTATGGTAAAAGGATACAACTCAGAAGCAGCCAGATGGAAAAGATGCCTGAGACAAGGTGTGGGGAGGGGCACAGAGCCCCCATGCCCCCCTCCCAGCACTTCCATGAGTTCAGCCTGGAAGCTCCTCAGGCCCCATCCTTTGGGGTTTGGGTTTTTATGAAGACTTCATTTATAGGCATGATTCATTAAGTCATCAGTCATTGGTGATGAAATCAACCTCCAGTCCCTCTCCCCTCTGTGGACGTGGGTAGTGGGCATAAGGCTGAAAGTCCCAAGTCTCTAGTCACTGGTTGGTTCCCCTGGCAACCAGCTCCCATCCTGAGGCTATCCAGGAGCTGCCAGTACCAGTCATCTCATTAGCATACAAGAAGTCACTCATCATTTTGGAGGTTCCAAGGCTTTCAGGAACTTTGTGCCAAGAAAAAGCAGAGATCAAATACGTGTTTCTCATTATGCCACACCTGGGTTCAGGATCCTGGCTCTGCCAATTTCCAGGTATGTGACCTCAGTTAAACTACCTGGTCTCTCTGAGCCTTTGTTCCTCATTGTAAGATTTCACTGACCACATACATAACATGTTCTGTGGACTGCGCATAGCAGTTGGCATAAAGAAGGCTGATGACAAAAGTGAGCCCCACTTTTCCTCCTCCTCCAGCTCGGAGCAGTCTCGCACATCCCACAGCCACCCTAACAGGGAGCAAGGCTCGTTGGTGCTGCCGGGGCTCACGCTTGGTGTCAGAAAAGGCAGAGATGATGAGTGCAAATGCGAGCTCTGGAGCCTGCAGTCCTCCACTGTGGAGTGGGGTGACAACGACCAAGGCACCTGGTTTCTCTACACCTTGGCTTCCTTGTCTGTAAAACAGGACGTCTACAAGTGCCTGCCTTATGGAGTTAATGAGCTAATGCACGTAAACACTTTGAAAGATGGCTGGCACACAAATGCCCAGTAAACTTCAACTAATAGTATGATCACCACCACCACAGTCACCCCAGGTCTGACCTAGTGTGGCGTGCAAAATACCCCTCATATTCTTCCTGCAGGTTTCCCTGTTGGGAGGCACCCTGGAGCTCAGTTTTTTCTTTTTCATCCTCTCTAGGGACAAGACATTGGTCTCTGGGATGAATGGGAGGAGCCTCTACTATTGACACAGCCACAGCAAACAATGCATGAACTTTGCTGGAGCAAAGAAGGGTGTGGGCCTGTTGGGAGAGGCAGGTGCCAGCAAGAGATGCTGAGTACCCCGCCCCTCTTTCCTTACCACTGTGCTGGACAAACAGCCATCTGGAGCAGACTTTCTACTTTCAAAGAACTCATGGTCTAGAATGAGCTTTATCTGGAAAAGGACATGCATCCTTTGGGATTTGGAGGTGGGGTGAAAAATCTCTAAGAAGGCTCAAGTGCTCTGAAACCACATGTTCCATAGAGTTCCTGTTTCCTAAAAATATATATTTCCAGAGGTTCTTATTTGAGAGGTCTTCTTTTTTCTTTTTCTTTTCCTTTCTTTTTTTTTTTTTTTTCATTTTGAGATGGAATCTCGCTCTGTTACCCAGGCTGGAGTGCAGTGGCATGATCTCAACTCACTACAAGCTCTGCTTCTCAGGTTCAAGTGATTCTCTTGCCTCAACCTCCTGAGTAGCTGGGATTACAGGCGTGCGCCACCATGCCAGGCTAATTTTTAAATTTTTAGTAGAGACGGGGTTTTGCCATATTGTCCAGGCTGGTCTCAAACTCCTGACCTCAAATGATCCACCCACCTTGGCCTCCCAAAATGCTGGGATTACAGGTGTGAGCCACTGTACCCCGCCAGCCCTTCTTTTTTCTAAAGTGAGTAAAGTTTTACCAAATCTCAACTGGCTGGGATGCACAGAAAGTAGTGAGCAAGGTTGGCAGGAGGAGAGGGGAGAAAGTTGGGGGCCATTTCCCTAGAGAGATCTGGCATCTATCAGCTGTACACAGCCATCTAGGGCTCAGTGTTTGCCAGTGTCTGAGTTCTGGGCTGTCTCTGTTGGTTATTCAGGTACAGAATGCTCATTTTCCCCCTGCTCCCTCTGTCCTTTCTGTCCTCCCTTATTTCTTCCCTTCATTCAACAGACCCTTGTTGATTGCACAAATGTCTCAGTTTCCCTGAATTTGTGCAAAAACCTATTAATTTATTCTTTCAATGAATATTTGTTAAATGAATGAGTGAGTGGATGTTTGAATGAATGAATTTTAGCACCCTCAGCTGGGAGTAAGCTCACCTCTTGAGTCCCCTCTCTCCAGTGGCAGGTTGGCTCACCATCCCAGGGAGCCTGCATTTTACTGGAGAGGGTACCTATGGTGACCCTCTGCCCCATCTCCAGTGCTCTTGAGTGGAAGCCCCTCCGCAGTCCTGCCCCAACCCCCACTCTCTCCTGTCTCACCTTTCTCTCTTCTCCACGCAGCGCCCCTGCTCCAGACAAGTAACATCACTCCTTCTCTTGTGCCTTTGGGCCTCTCCTTCCCACTGTCTAGAATGCAGGCAGCTCTATGGGCACCCGGCAAAATTCTCTCTCCTTTCAAGGCCCAGCATTTTCAGTGTAGCTTTTCCTGATCCCTACAACTGAAAGTGACTTTTTTTGCCTGCCTGCATCTCTCATACACCTTTCCTGGATTTATCCCATTCCACCATTCATGATCACTTATGCTTGTCTTATCCACTGCTGAAGCTCTTGGAGAGTTATAACTACACTTCATACACGTGTACACTCCCAACATTGTGCCTCACACAATGTCCTATGAATAATAGCTGCTGTAATATTTTTATTGAATGAATACTTCATATTCACTTTTCCTTGTAGACTAAATTTTCAGCTGTCGTCATGATGGTCATCGCATGATATTAGTCTTTTCTTTCTTTGTTCATTTATTCCTTCATCCATTTATTTACCTAATTATCCTAATACAGTCAAGCAGTGTGCTAGGCATCAGAATATAAAGATCAAGAGGGGGCCGGGTGCAGTGGCTCATGCCTGTAATCCCAGCACTTTGGGATGCCAAGACGTGCAGATCACTTGAGCCCAGGAGTTTGAGACAAGCTTGGGCAACATGGCAAAACCCTGTCTCTACAAAAAATACAGAAGTTAGCTGGGAGTGGTGGCTCAGGCCTGTAGTCCCAGTTACTAGGGAGGCTGAAGTGGGAGAATCCCTTGAGCCCAGGAGCCAGAGGTTGCAGTGAGCCGAGATCACACCACTGAGCTCCAGCCTGGGGCAATAGAGCCAGACTCTGCCTCAAAAATAAAATAGAATAAAAGATTAAGAAGGGATGTTCTGATGCAGAGAGATGGACACAAATAAAAAAGAGCTGTGTCTGGCACTGGAATGCACCTTCACACTCTCATCAGAGCCATGGCCTCTGTAAAGACAGAGACCAGTTTGGTTTGCAGAAGAATGGGTGATGTAACCTCTTAAACATAACTCATAGGAAGATTTCCCAAAAAGTTTATATCAGCGAACACCTGGTACATCATGGCATCTCTCATAAACCCTTCTCAGTTTAGCTCCGTCATCTTCACAACCATGTGAGAGTAAATCAGGAGGGTGGATTTTGAGATGTTTGTCCTCGGGTCTTATCCAGGTCATTCATGGCCTTTGACCTGCTCCTATAAATAGCTCTTGCCAGTGAGCATTTGCAAGTCCCCTCTGGGCTGAGGATTCCCCAATTGCTAGGCCTAGAAACACTGCTCAGAGTCTCCGCCAGCCTCCCTAGCATCAGAGGCCCAGGCCAATACCGAGGCATTGCAAATACAGGGAAGGTAAAGGATGCAAAAGTAAACATTTGCTGGATACTGGAGAGGCGAAACATGCTTGGTGTCTGGGGACACACAAGGGGACAACAAAGAAGCCAAACCACGGTGATGGGGGTGAGAGAGGTATCCTCCCTTCAGTTCTTTTTTTTTTTTTTTGAGACAGAGTTTTGCTGTTGATGCCCAGGCTGTAGTGCAATGGCGTGACCTTGGCTCACTGCAACCTCCGCCTCCCAGATTCAAGTGATTCTCCTGCCTCACCCTCTTGAGTAGCTGGGATTACAGGTGTGAACCACCATGACCAGCTAATTATTTGTATTTTTAGTAGAGATGGGGTTTCACCATGTTGGCCAGTCTGGTCTCAAACTCCTGATCTCAGGTGATCTGCCTGCCTCAGCCACACAAAGTGCTGGGATTACTGGCGTGAGCCACCACACCCGGCGCCTCCCTTCGTTTCTGTTGGAGCCCCCATCCACAAAGCAATGAGAAATGCTGAAAGCAGACAGAACGTAGGTGCTCTGGTGACATGTACTCCTCATTGATTGGATGGAGCTCCACTGAACATTTGGCCCGTTCCTTAAGGGCCGAGTGACAGCTCAGCAGATGGAGGGGGGAAAGACACTCTCAGCTGTGGGAACAGGATGCACAGAGGTTCAGCTGTCTGAAAGGGCAGAGCATTTTCTATGATCTTGCATCCTGTGAGCTGGCATAACTGAGTCTGGAAAGATTGAGTGGGAATAGGTTGTGATGTTCTTGCTATGCAAGATCAAGGTCTTTGGATTTTAATGTGATTCTTTCTAGGAATTTGGCTCTGCCCTTGACAAGCCTCACCCCAAAGCTGCTCTTTGGTAACTTACACCCTTCCCCCACACCACCATCCCTTGCCTCCTAGGACTTCAGGTTCTCCTTTCTGCCTCACAGCTCTAGGAGTCCAGAGTATCAACTGGCAGACGGCCTTCAACCGACAAGCGCATCACACAGACAAGTTCTCCAGCCAGGAGCTCATCTTGCGGAGAGGCCAAAACTTCCAGGTCTTAATGATCATGAACAAAGGCCTTGGCTCTAACGAAAGACTGGAGTTCATTGTCTCCACAGGTACCTGCTCATTCCCCTCCTTGCCCAAACACACACATACTTGAGTAGCCCTTGTTCATTCAAGGACTGACGGGGACCACACTGGGGCCACTGGCATTGGGTTCTAGCCTTGCTCTGTCATTGATTCAGTGTGGCCTTGGGCAAGTTGCTGTCCATCTCTGAGCCTGAGAGTCACCATCCTCAAATCAAGAGGGATCTGGCCTGTATGTTTGTTCCAGTTACTTCCAGTGGTAGAATATGGCGCTTCATTGGCTCATGTCCCCCAGAGGGGGGTTGTATTGGAACCTGGTCTCTCCACAGTCTGACCAGTGCTTGTTGGTTTTCTCAACCTCTGTCTTCTTTGACAGGGCCTTACCCCTCAGAGTCGGCCATGACGAAGGCTGTGTTTCCACTCTCCAATGGCAGTAGTGGTGGCTGGAGTGCGGTGCTTCAGGCCAGCAATGGCAATACTCTGACTATCAGCATCTCCAGTCCTGCCAGCGCACCCATAGGACGGTACACAATGGCCCTCCAGATCTTCTCCCAGGGCGGCATCTCCTCTGTGAAACTTGGGACGTTCATACTGCTTTTTAACCCCTGGCTGAATGGTAGGTGTCTAGCCACCCACACTCTCAGCCCTGGCCTAAGCTAGAAAAGAAAAAGGGGATGGGGGAAATGATCTTCACAGGCTCAAGTTTGATTAGGGAAAGTCCATGGGCTGTGGAAAGGGCGCAGAAGCTAGAAATGAGGAGCTCTGACACTTAAGCAGCTGTCTGAGTGTGGGCAGTCCTTCTATCTCTCCAAGCCCCAATGTCCTCACCATTAAATGGACATCCTGCTGTTTCTTCTGGGAATATTGTGGAGATCACATTGAGCTTTTACAAACTGCATAGCATGGTTCATTTTAAGGGACAATACCACAGTATAATTCCACAGCATGGAGATAGCTTTCTGCCAGAAAGAGCAGGTGTCTTATCCCTGGGGTCTCATTTTCAGACCCTCGGGTCATCCTAGCTTCTCTTTCCAGCTCATAGTTCCCACAATTGGAGTTGGAAGAGTTACAGCCCAAGGGTCAGGGGAGGGCTAAAGGTGGGGCTTGCTCCAACCCCCAGGCCGGTTCAGGAGTGGGAGGAGAGGAGGAACGATCCCTACAGTCCTCCGAGGATTCTAGTCGCTGGTGTCTGCTTTTTGTATCAAATAGTGGATAGCGTCTTTATGGGTAACCACGCTGAGAGAGAAGAGTATGTTCAGGAAGATGCCGGCATCATCTTTGTGGGAAGCACAAACCGAATTGGCATGATTGGCTGGAACTTTGGACAGGTAAAAGGGTCATAAGGAAGCTAAGGGTAATGTCCCTGTTACCCAAGAAGCTCAGCAGCTTGCCCCACAGATCAATGGGAAGTCCCACATCTGTCCATCTGCCTGCCCTTCTATTTGTTCATGTATTCAGAAGACTTTCATTGGCCACCTATTATGTGTCAGACCCTGGGATCCACACTAAGGATAAAGGAGATGAATAAGACAGATCCATCTTTGAGGGGGTTGCAATCTAGTGGGCAAGACAGAACACACACATAACTCAATTGATGCAATGAAGTAGTATTGGTGCCAGGATGCACAAATAAATATAAGGCCCCCAAGAGACACTGGGGACAGTAATGTAGCTTCTGTTTTTCATTCCATGTAACAATGCGATGACACTTCCTTAGTGTGCCCACTCAGCCTTTCCAAGCCACACCCTTTTGTTCCTTTATTACAGCAATCCCCATTTGAGTCTACAGAGTTCTCAGATTTGGTCAGTTTAGAAAACTTTCAAGGATGCCCTCCACCTTTTAGTTTATCCACCAGACAAAGGCATTAGAATAAAGCACCTCGGGCGGGGTGCCTTGGATATCAGAAAGATGTGTGCTTGGACCATCTACAGACCCTGTCTGTAGTCAACTGGAGCAAGTTGGGAGGAAGAAAAAAGAGAAGGATAGGACATAGAGTGCACCTAGGAGTGGAAGAGAGGCTATTTTTTTTTATGGCATGGTTAGGGAGGGCCTCACTTAGAAAGGAGCCTTTGATCAGGAACCTGAAGGAGATGAGGGCACCAGACAGAGATCTTGGGAAAGAGCATCAGGCAGAAGGAAAAGCAAATGCAAAGACCTAAGGCAAGAGGAGCTCGGCCTTCTCAGTTTGAGAAGCAATGACTTCAATTAAGTCTTATTTTGTGAAAATCACTTCAAATACATATACTTTAGCAAGAGATTTTATTTTTATAACTAGTTCTCCAGGAGTCTCAATAACGTGCTCAAGATTGCAGGCAGGCCAGGTGCAGTGGCTCACGCCTGTAATCCCAGCACTTTGGGAGGCTGAGGCGGGTGGATCACCTGAGGTCAGGAATTCGAGACCAGCCTGGCCTATATGGCAAAACCCTGTCTCTACTAAAAATACAAAAATTGGCCAGGTGTGGTGGCACGGGCCTGTAATCCCAGCTACTTGGGAGGCTGAGGCGGGAGAATTACTTCCCAGGAGGTGGAGGTCACGATGAGCCGAGATCATACCACTGCACTCCAGCCTGGGTGACAGAGCAAGACTCCGTCTCAAAAAAAAAAAAAAAAAAAAAAAAAGGATGGGAGGCAGAGCTAGAAGGAAACTCTGAGATGAGTTTGGCCTAATTATACAGATGGAGAAATCGAGGCCAGACAGGCTAAACAGCTTGCTCTTGAGGTTTGTGGCAGCCGGGGCGTCGGCTAGACCAAGCCACCTCCCATGCATTCACTTTAAGAGAGTTTGCACAAGGTCTTATGCTTTTTTATTTTTAATAATTTTTTATTTATTATCCTTTTCTGTCTCTTTTTTGTTGTTGTTGTTTCAAAAGCTGCCTTTGAGGAAATACACAGGGTCTTGTGTGTAGTGAGTGCTCTGGATGAGTTTGCGGGGTTGAGGGCTGGGCATGGTGGCTGTCCTCAGTAGCTCTCAGTTCCAGAGGCCACAGAGTCAAAGGATCTGATAGTTCCTGTGGTTCTTGCCAGTGCAGTTCCCTTCTTGAGCCAACTCTCCTTGTCATTTCTTTAATTGTAATGTATGGTCTCGTTCTGAACAGTTTGAAGAAGACATTCTCAGCATCTGCCTCTCAATCTTGGATAGGAGTCTGAATTTCCGCCGTGACGCTGCTACTGATGTGGCCAGCAGAAATGACCCCAAATACGTTGGCCGGGTGCTGAGTGCCATGGTGAGTAACAGGAAAACGATCACAGCTAGTTGTCATCATATATTGAACACCACCTATGAGCTAGGCACGCACACTCTTTACATATGTCATCTCATTAAAGCCTCACCAATTACAGCTGGTGGTTAGAACCATCCACATTTTACTAACTTGGAGCACAAGGCCCCTCTAAGTTACAGGGCTTGCCTGAGGCACACAGTGAGTATGTGGCAGAAGCAGAGCCAGACCCAGGTCCAGCCAGCTTCAAAGCCCTTTCCACCACATCATGAAGCCTTTCTCAGAGGAAAAGGGAGCTTGCTCTTTGAGTGCCTGCCAAGGATGGGAGAATGCAAAGCTAGGGCTCTGCTCCATCATTGGGCCTCCTGGGAAAGGAAGCGAGACCCTGATTGAGCTGGAGGTGGTGACCTCCTTTGCCTAACTCATCTCTTCCACAGCCCAGAGCACAGCCCAGAGTGTCAGATGGTAGGCTGCCTCATTCATGGTCTAGATGGGGAAACAAGCTTGGAGAGCTGAAGTGGCTTGCTCAAGGCACACGGCATGCAAGTCAGACCAGAACAAGGCCTCCATGGAAAAGGCCTGTGCCCCTACAACACACACAAACACACACACACTCACACAATCACACACACTCTCTCTCTCTCTCAGACACACACACACACGAGCTAGATCCCCTAGAAGGCATCTATGGCTCTGCACTCATTGTGTAGAGAATATCTCCAACCAGTCTGGGCGTGGTGGCTCACGCCTCTCATCCCAGTGCTTTGGGAGATGGAGGTGGGAAGATGGCTTGAGCCCAGGAGTTTGCCACCAGCCTGGGTAACGTAGTGAGACCTCGTCTCTACAGAAATTAAAAAAAAACTAGCCAGGCATAGGCAGACACGGTGGCTCACACCTGTAATCCCAGCACTTTGGTGGGGAGATGACTTGAGCCCAGGAGTTCAAGACTAGCCTGGACAACATGGCAAAACCCTGTCTCTACAACAACAACAAAAAAAAATTAGCAGGGCATGGTAGCATGTGACAGTAGTCCCAGCTACTTGGGAGACTGAGGTGGAAGGATCACTTGAGCCAAGGAGGTGGAGATTGTGGTGAGCCAAGATCATGCCACTGCGCTCCAGCCTGGGTGACAGAGTAAGACCCTATCTCAAACAAACAAACAAAAATTAGCCAAGCATGGTGGTACATACCTGTATTCCCAGCTACTCAGGAGGCTGAGGCAGGGGGATTACTTGAACCCAGGAGCTTGAGGTTACAGTCAGCTATGATGGCACCACTGCACTCAGGCCTGGGTTATAGAGCAAGACCCTGTTTCCAAAAATATTCATCCAGAATATCTAAACCTAGATCAAC
Source organism: Homo sapiens (assembly GCF_000001405.40). Classification (NCBI taxonomy): domain Eukaryota; kingdom Metazoa; phylum Chordata; class Mammalia; order Primates; family Hominidae; genus Homo; species Homo sapiens. The sequence goes on from NC_000020.11 coordinate 2,314,374, forward strand.
CTGCTCAAAAGTTGTAAGTTAAGATGCAAAAAGTCGTGATCAGGCACAGTGGTTCACACCTGTAATCCCAGGACTTTGGGAGGCTAAGGCAGAGAATCACTTGAGCCCAGGAGTGTGAGACCAGCCTGGACAACATAGTGAGACCTCATCTACACATACACACACACACACACACACACACACACACACACACACACAGGAGCCAGGCATCGTGACACATGCCTGTAGTCCCAGCTACTTGGGAGGCTGAGCTGGGGGAATTGCATGAGTCCGTTAGTTGCAGGCTGCAGTGATCTGTGATTGCGCCACTGCACTTCAGCCTGGGTGACACAGCAAAAGCCTATCTCCAAAAAAAAAGGCGAAAAGTCAAAGTGAATTCTTTACTTTAATCCTCTTAAACTAAGTAATTACCCAGAAATCCTGTAACCTTTATTTATTTATTTCTATGTTTCATGGTTTAGGCATTTCTTGATCTCTTGACTTTTGAGTTGGATATGTCCATGCTAATGAGCTAGTTACTTGGTTAAAAATGTGAACAACTTCTCAGCTGCATGATAAATATCCGGGGTGCATCTGAGAGGGCTTTTGGAAAGAGCTGAGTCTTAGACTGAGCCTGGCAAGAAAGGAGTAAGGTGGGCCCAGGGAACTTAGTAGCCGAGGGAGAGTATGGAGAGGAAGTGAGCCTGGAACAGAATCTTGAAACCAAATGGCCTGGAAGAGGTGGGATTAAAGCCCTGGTGACTTAGAAGGCTGAGTCTCTTTGGCCTAGGAGAGAGTGGGTGAGGCCAGCGGCTCCTGCAGCTGCTGACTCACTCGCACCCCAGGGCCAAACCACTTTATCGTGGAGCCAATTTCCTCAGCTGCACCTCCCAGATGCTCTATTCAGACCTCCCAGCTGGGCTGGGCCATGAACTAATTATGGCCTGTGCGGAGCTTTGAAGTGCTCAGCTTTCAGCCAGAGATGACCGTGCTGATAGCCACTTTGGAGGCTGGAGCACCAGTGACTCAGGAGATGGGGAAGGGCTGCGCAACCTTCCATCTCTAAGGAGGCCCTGTCTTGCCTGACTCTGCCATGACAGCCCAGGACCTCCTGGAAGGGGTGCAGAACTCACTACTGCACTGAGGGCCTGGCAAGGCTGGGCATGGCCTGTCCTGGGCAAGGATCCCTCTGTGTCCAGACTGTCCATTCTCATAGGCCTTGCCACTTACAGGCACTCCAAGGAGAAGGGGTAGGACACACAGGCTGGAGGAGCCTTCAGAGATCCTGGTCCAGCCTCTCATTGCACAGTTCAGATAAACGACAGCCAAAGTTTCATAAACCCTGACCCTTGACTACAAAAGACACCTCAGAGCACCTTTGTCCTAACTTTCCCTTGAAAATTCCCTTCCCTATTGGAAGGTGAAGAACTAAGGCCTAGAGAGGTGAACAGACCTTTGTGCAATCATCAAGTTGGCAAGTGGCAAGGTGGGGCTTGTAACCTCAGTGTCTCCTTCTCTCTTTTAACTTTTATTATGGAAAAGTTCAGACCTACATAAAAGTAGAGAGAAAAGCATAATGAACTCCTGTGTCTGCATCACAAGCTTCAGCAATTACCTCTTCAAGGCTGGTGTCATTTCATCTGCGACCCTCTCTTTCACAGATGATTTGATAAATCTTAGACATTACACATTTGTCATAATTTCACCTGTAAATATTTCCAAGTGTGTCCCTAAAAGACAATGGAACTCAGGTCTCGATTTCTAGTCCAGTGATCTTTCCAGGCTGCCTCTTGGTTGTGTCACTTAGATTAGAACCTTAAATTGAATAAATGAATGAGTAAACTAACAAATGAACAAATAGCTGAATGAATGAAAGAAAAGAAATACTCTATCTTTATTCTTTCCAAGAAGAAGTTAGTTGCTAAAGTTCTAAAGTGATCTTTTTGGCCGGGTGTGGTGGCTCACACCTGTAATCCCAGCACTTTGGGAGCTGATGTGGGCAGATCACTTGAGGTCAGCCTAAGCAACATGGTGAAACCCCGTCTCTATTAAAAATACAAAAGCTAGCCGGGCATGGTGGCACGCATTAACACCAGTTACTCAGGAGGCTGAGCCAGGAGAATTGCTTGAATCCAGGAGGCGAAGCTTGCAGTGAGCCAAGATCACGCCACTGCACTCCAGCCAGGGCGACAGAGAGAGACTCTGTATCAGAAAATAATAATAATAATAAATAATAATAAATAAATAAAATAAAAATAAATAAAATAAATAAAGTGATCTTTTCGTAAGACCATACACCAAAAAAGAGTTTCAAACCATGGACTCCCAGGCAGACTGTGACAGCAGTGATAGCCTGTGGATTCTTACCTGCCAGAAGTCCTCTGCAAGCTGGAGTTGTGCCCTGCCTTGCCACAGCACAAGCTGTGCTGTCTGTTTCCCATGTCAGGCTGCTGCACAGGAATGACGTATGGATCAAGGACAATCAAACATGGCCTGTTTGGGAAAGCACCTCTAAACTCGTAAACCACTCCATACCCCTAAGGGTTAAGTGTTACAATGATCATCCCCAAGTCACCTAGAAAGACAAAGAAAAGTTCAATCATGGCCTTTGGCTTCCTTCCTCATCTCCCCACCTTGTCCTCTGAATTCTGCATGTCAGTCTCCCTAGGAAAGGCATTAGTGCTGACTCATTTTGGGGGGGTGGTTTCTGCCCAGATCAATAGCAATGATGACAATGGTGTGCTTGCTGGGAATTGGAGCGGCACTTACACCGGTGGCCGGGACCCAAGGAGCTGGAACGGCAGCGTGGAGATCCTCAAAAATTGGAAAAAATCTGGCTTCAGCCCAGTCCGATATGGCCAGTGCTGGGTCTTTGCTGGGACCCTCAACACAGGTACCTTGGGTGTGGTGTGCCTTGGCTGGGTCAGTGGGTGGCAGTGGGCTATGCCAAGGTACCATCTCCACCACCTGAGTCCTCACGCCCACCCTGACTTGCAGCGCTGCGGTCTTTGGGGATTCCTTCCCGGGTGATCACCAACTTCAACTCAGCTCATGACACAGACCGAAATCTCAGTGTGGATGTGTACTACGACCCCATGGGAAACCCCCTGGACAAGGGTAGTGATAGCGTATGGTAAGTATCTCACCTTTTCCCTGAACTTCGAGCACCACATTTGAGTGGCTTCTCGCTCTCACCATCCTTCTGGGACCCAGGTCCAAACAGGTGTTGCAAGGCAAGTAACATGTCATCACAGGGTGTAGAATGGAACTGCTGGCAATGCTGATTACACACTTAGCAGCACCCAAGACACCTCTTCTCGGTGCTCTGCGGTCTGCTAGTCTGGTCTATCTTGCTGCCGTCAGACAAAGGATCTGATCCCAGTGAAAGACAGGGCTCCTAAATTCACTCTGAATTTATGGGATCCATTGGACCTTATACTACTATAGAATATACAAGTTGAAACTATTGCTTTTCCAGCAAGAAATATACATTTGTTTCATTTCAAGTAATCCATATGACTTACAAACTTTCTTAAAGAGAATAAGAAAAGCAACACATCTTCTCTTAGCATATATATATATATATATATCATATATATATATATATACACCTATTGTATACCTTGGTTGACATCAAAAGTTCAGAGTTTATTCTGGATTCCGGATGAAAACAATTATTTTTTTGAGATGGAGTTTCATTCTTGTTGCCCAGGCTGGAGTGCAATGGTACAATCTTGGCTCACTGCAACCTCAGGCTCCCAGGTTCAAGTGATTCTCCTGCCTCAGCCTCCCAAGTAGCTGAGATTACAGGCATGCACCACCATGCCCGGCTAATTTTTGTATTTTAGTAGAGACAGGCTTTCACCATGTTGGTCAGGCTGGTCTTGAACTCCTGACCTCAGGCCATCCACCTGCCTCAGCTTCCCAAAGTGCTGGGATTACAGGCGTAAGCCACTGCACCCGGCCAAAATGTTTTATATATATTTGGGCATTTATATTCCTAACCATAAGTATGCCATGTGCACACTATCAATACACACACACACGTAATTTAATGATAGATGCCACTGGAAGTAGGAAATGTGTAGACATATATCTGTAACTGCATAGAGCACTAGATAGATAGATATTATATAGATAAAAATAGACATTGTTACAACTGTTTAAGGTTATATCATATACCAAGTTATTACCGGATGGCAATTGGCAATGATGTCTATATCTGTAGATACACAGAGATATCTATGTATCTATATAAAGTACCCATCTATCTATTGTTTTAATCCATTTCAAAGGCTACACACACACATAATTGCTCACATGCATGTATGTGGCTAGATAATCGTATGACAGATGTAATCTTATTTTCAGATGTTCAATTTTGAGATAGTCTACATAAAATGTTTGTATTACTTATCATTCCCAGAATAAGTATATCTAACTTATCTGAAATGTGCTTAATGTAACTAAGGGTATAAAATGAAACGAAAATAGATAATAATGGAAAACACTGTTAAAACAAATAAATAACAACTCCATGCCAGCAACCGAGTTGAGTAATAAAAGCATCCCTTCCCTTCTGAAGGAGAGTGAGGTTTATGTAACTCACCCCAGAGTCAATGGATTCTGGGGTTTTACTAGGGGAGAGAAAGCTTATTTAAGGAGTTTCTTTCTTGATCTGCACATACACAACTTTCTCTCTAATGATATTGCTTACTTGTGGCCAGACTTTGTTTTCCAACTTCTCATGAATGAGTGTCTTCTTTTCCCTGGGCTTTTCTTTGTTCTTGTGTCCAAAATCCCATCGCAACCAGCTCTGATCACTGGGGCTATGCCATTCCTAACTTTAGTTTCTTCTACAAAAGGAGATGGTTGGTGAGACAAGTTGGGGGTCCCCTCGGCATACCCTTTCTGTGATTATCCTGTACATTAGGAACTGCAGGGACGTGGAAAGCTTAAGTCTCAGTTCCTCCACTGAAAGCATTTTTATGGTGCTGTTAGGAGGCACGGGGTGGGGAGGCCACTAGTAGAGGCTAATTAGCAACACAGCATGGTGTGTGATGCCCAGGCAAGTGACTGAGACAGGGATACCAGGAACTCGGAGGAAATCCTCAAGGAAGGCGTCCTGGAAACAGGAAAGTGAGGCTTTTAAGCTAAATTTAGAATTAGAACCCAGGTCTCCTGGTTAGTGATTCACACTGCCCCCCACATCAGCTTAACATCACCTTTGGGACAAGTAGGAGCTGATGGAGACATTCCAGGGTGGCTCTGTGGTCATTTCTGTGGCCTCATGGGAGGGGGCCAGGCGCAGAAGCTCTGACTGTTCCTGAGGATCTTGTCACCCCTCCCTTCCTCTCCCCTTTTCTGAACCTTCTCAGAAAGCCAAGGGAGCTGATAGTTACTCCCTACACCATTCCCTACAGCTGATGGTTGGGGGAGCCAGCCCTGGAGGGCATGAGGACAGGGAGTCCCAAGCACTAGCTCCAGCCCTACCACCCAATTGCTGTGAGGCTTGCGCAAGGCAATTTATCCTCCTGGTCCCAAGTTTCTTCATATGTGAAATATAAGGGTTGGCCTAGGACTAGATGATTTCTTAAGTCCTTTGCCAGCTTAAATGTTTAAATTCTCGGGAGCTTCAGCCCACTCCACTTTCTATAAGGGAGCTAGCCCTCCCAAGGGAGCCCTGCTGTTCCTTCCTCCTTGAATCCCATGCAGGGGAGAGCTAAACCAAGAGCCAGTTTCTGCCTGGCGTGAAATTACTAAGCTATTCTTATAAGGGCAACCGGAGTTTGGACAGAAAACCTCTGACATGAATCTTTGTATGTTACCAAAAAGTGTTGAAAGCTTTAGAACCGTGCCCAGATTTGCCTAAAGTAATAGAATGTGAGAATCAAGGGAGATTAAGCATTAGAAGTGCTTAGTAATAGTAACAGCAGCAACTAATAATTTGTTGAGCAGTTGTTGTGTGCCAGGTACTGTTATAAGTGCTTAGATTTCATCTTCACAAATGACGTAGGCATTGTTATTTTCATCCCCAATTTATTTTTCATGGATGAGAAAACAAAGGCCCCGAGAGAAGTAACTTGTCTAAGGGTAAACACCGGGAGACATGTAGACATTCTAAGCGCATAACATTATGTAAGTTCCTTGCCTTTGCTACACCTCAATTTCCCACTTGTAAAACAAAGGGCCAGATCAGGGGACCTCAGTGACATTTTCTAGGCCTTTCTTTTAATCAGATTCACAGCAGCCAGTGGGGTAAATTTTTTTCTAAGCCACTCTGCTCGTGCCAATGGTTTGGCTTAAGAGTCACGCAGTTCCGGAGTATTCACTCTCTTCAGAGTGAGGACACTTTTCGGGGGAGCTTAGTTTGGGATGCTTCTTTGAGATGTCCTCCTTCGGGTCCACTGCAAAGGAAGTCTCTGGAGCCTATTCAGCCACCGAGCAGCAGCCGAATGATTTGGAACAGTTTAGCCAAAGTTATCTTGACTTTTCTGGCTTGTTTTCTTCATTCATTTGGCTTGATCCCCCAATTTCTAGAGTCATAGATCTGACTCTACCTGTAGACTTTGCAGAACTCTGAGGTAGAAGGTGCCTAGAGACTGCCCAGCCCTGCCAGGGAGGTGAAGTCAGGCAGTGCCTCCAGCTGTCAGCACCCACACCTCAGCCAAGCCCCTGGCTCCTCATGCAATCTCTCCACGGCCTCTGCCTCTGAATACCTGCTTCCACTAATCCTGAACTGGCTCCTAGGCCCTTAGTGAGGAAGTGACAGAGAGTGGTTTCAGCCCAGAAACAACTCAATTCAGCAAACATGATTCCATGCACATCTGCACTGGACTCCGGGCACCAAGAGGAACAAGATGCAGGAACTGTGCTGGAGGAGGGTTTTTGTTTGTTTGTTTTGTTTTATAACTAGGCCTTAGAGACTGAATAGACGAGTTTACAGCTGCATTAAAAGCTTGGCAATTATGGAGTAGCAATGAAATCAATGAATTATTTGCAAGAGTCAGAGACAGCACAGAGGTATTATTGGCACTCTCTTGGCGTGTCAGGAAAGGCTTTTTTGGCAGAGGTAGTATCTGAACAAACTTTGGGAGGACAAATGGGAGTTTACCTACAGAAGGGCAGGGTTTGGGGCCACTTTCTAGGCAAGGTCTCCTAACTCTGTGATTTCAAAGGTAAGCATAGCTCAGTTGGTGTCTGTAGAGCAGTGTTTTATAAACGTCAAAGACTGCATGAGAATTAATTTGTGTGGGGAAAGATGAGAGCAGCGGAAATCTGCACTTTTTAATAAATGCCTTGGATAGTTCTGATGCCCGCAGCCTGTCCTCTCCTGAGCTTATGCTCCTGAAACCCTCAGGAAAGGAGTGGAGCCCGAGGTTGGGGGGTGGGAGACAGCGTGGCACACAACCAGAAACCCACACCGGAATTTCCACATGGCGCCACTGGGCATTGGAAAGATGCACATCCCAAATATTTCTGTGTAACTGAAGTGGCTGGCTTTTGCATGAGGGAGGAACCAGGATGCAGTTGTTATCTGCTCTGCCTTAAATTCCTGCCTTGCAAGCAAGTATTAAAATACAGCTACTTATCAATTTTTTTTTTTTAACCAGCCTGCCCTTCCCCTTGGGTGCTCTGCCAGGAGCAAATTGAGTGTGAAACTTGGTGTCCTTATTCACTTTCTCATCCCTCCCTTGCTCCTCTCACCCACCTGGGACCATCTTCCCACACTCCTTCCCTTGCCTTCTCCTTGGTGAGTTCTAACCGATCATGAAGGCCTGTTCAAAAAGACTCCCTGGATCCTGGAGATCATTTTTATGATGCCCTTTTAAAAATAATTATAAAAAAATTCAAAATACATACAGAAATAAAAATCATTTCTGATCTTATTCACATATCTTCAACACTTGGTAGTTTTCCATTCATCTTTTCTCTCTGAGTTATTGTTATTTACAGAATTGGGATGATACATTTTCCAAGGCATGAGTAGAAGACGGAGCATATAATAGACACATCCCACTTTTTCCCACACCTCGAAACCAATCACTTCACCATTAGTTTTAGTCATGTGTTTTTTACTAAACATTATATCATGAGCATTCTCCCTATGTCATTAAAAAATCTTCAAAAATAAGATCATTTCAAATACGTCGTAAGTGCATCATATTCTCTTATATGGAATGGAACCTATGTAAAGTCAGGTTACATAAAATGGAATCTACTGTTAACCTGTTTCCCTTTTTTAACCCCAGCTGCCTGGATTCAAATCCCACTCTGCTTAATTACTCACTGTAAGACCTTCTCAAGTCACTTAACTTCCCTGAACCTCAGTTTCCAGAGTTGTTGAATGGGGAATAATAATCATTTCTGTCTTTTAGGGTGTTGTAAGGATTAAATAAGTTAATATATGCAATAACACAGGACTCAACTTTCTGTGTTAACACTGTGTTAGCTATGATCATCCAACTTACATATATTTTCTAATTATAGAAGTAATGAGTAATTGACATGATAGAAAATAAAAACATTATAGAAATAAGTAACATAAAACTTAGTTTGTATGCACTATATATATAACACATACACCAAACTGTTAATGGTGGATATCTAAGAAAATAGAATTATTGTAGACTTTCTCCAATGTTTTATGTATAATTTTTTAATGAACAGCTTTATCATACATCTACATATATACACATAGGTTTTTTTCTTTTTCCTTTTTTATTTCCATAGGTTTTTGGGGAACAGGTGGTATTCGGTTACATAAGTTCTTTAGTGGCAATTTGTGAGATTTTGTTGCACCCATCTCCTGAGCAGTATACCCTGAACCCAATTTGTAGTCTTTTATCCCTCACCCCCTTCCCACCTTTTCTCTCTGAGTCCCCAAAGTCCATTGCGTCATTCTTATGCCTTTGCATTCTCATAGCTTAGCCTTGACTTATGAGTGTGAACACACAATGTTTGGTCATACTGATTTTCTTATTTCATGATATCTCTTAGACATCTCTCCATGTAAGTACTAGATTGATTTTGCTTGTCCTTTTTGACAGCTGTTTGATATCCCATTCCATGGCTCTGCCACCATTTATCTGCCAATTCCCTTATTGATGAACTTTTGCTCCAACATTTTTGCTGTTACAAACAATGCCTTGGTGGACACCTTTAGATATACATGTATGTGCACTTACGTGAGTTTTTCCATGGGAGAAATTCCCTGATGTGGACTTACTGGCTCAGTGAGTATGTAGATTTTTACAAGTTTTTATATTCATTGCCAAATTGCTTTCCACAAGGTCATAGCAATTTAAACTCCCACCAGTGGGGTATGACAGTGCTTGTTTTCCCACCTGGAAATGAGCACCACAACGAGTATCACCGTATGCTTTAATCTCTGTCAGTCTAATAGGTGTCATCTATGTATCTCTGTCATGTTATCTCTTTGTCATTTTAATTTTCTTTTCATAGTACTGAGGTTAAAACTATTTTCATATGTTTGGTGGTTATTTGTATTTCTTATAAAAATTGCCTGCTCGTTGCTATTTATGGGCATGTTTTTCTTTTTCTATTTCTTATTTTTTCATCACTTAGTTCAAGGAAAGTATGCTTTCTCTTATCAATTTGTAAGTACATTACAATATTGATACAGTAAATCTCTATCTAGCATGTATGTTGGATATATTTTCTCTGCTTTATTGATTTTTTTCAATCATTTGTCTCACTTTGCCTTCAAATTGGATAATTTCTAGTCATCTATCTTCAAATTTATTGACTCTTTCCTCTGTCATCTCTATCCTGCTATTAAGTTTATTTATCATTTAATTTCAGATATTTGTGCTTTTTCCAGTTAAAATTTTTCCATTTGGTTCTTTTTTTCATATTTTCTATTTCTCTGCCCAAAGTTTATCTCTTTTCATTAGTTATGAGCATATTTTCCTTTATTTCGTTGAGCCTCGCTCTAGTAGCTGCTTTAGTCTTTGTCTGACAATTCCAACATCTGGATTATTTTATGGTGGGTTTCTGTGGATTATCTTTTCCCTTGAGGATAAACCACATTTTCCTGGTTCTTTGTTTGTTGAGTGATTTTGGCTCATACCCCAGACGCTGGATGTGTCTGAATTCTGTTCTCTTGTTTTGGCTGCCTATCTTGGGTCACTCAACATGCAAACTGTCTCCCTTGCAGTAGGCAGTGGCTCTGCTCTCAGTTCAGGGCTTTTATCTCCAGCTGAACAGCTCATGGTCTGCCTCATCCATGCATGATTGAGGGTCACCTAGAGGTTTGGGCAGCTTCCTTGACTCTTTTCAGAATTCCCCCCTCACTCTCCAGCAACCCAGGTTGGTTCAGGCTCTGCTCCTGGTTCCTCAGATCAGAAAGCTGTGGGCTGCCTGTCGAGTTCTTGCTCCATGTACTTTACCCCAACTGTGGCCTTTCCTTAGAGCAAACTCATAAAAAGTGCAGCTTCCTCTACGTTCTGATTCCTCTCTAAAATCATAGTGCTTTGATCATGCTCAGGTGTCTTTCCTAGTTTTTCATTTTTTTCCCCACAGTTTATCATTATATGCAAAAGGATTCATCTGTTTTGAGCTTATCCTCCACACCAGAAACAGAACTACAGGTTTGTTTGTTTACATGTAACTTCAATATTTTTACATACTCAAATATATGAGTCTCTTCCTTTATGCTTTCTGAAATGGGTGGTCTGCTTAGAACTATCTTTTCCACCTCATGAGTATAGAAATATTTTTTTCCACGTTGACTAGAACTTGGATTTATGTCGAACTTATATTTTCTTCATGTTGAACTGAAAAGTGCCAAGACCAGTGTGACTGTAGTTTCCATGGGAGTGGAGAGGAGAGAAGAGGGCAGAATTGGGGGACAGAATGAGTAAGACCTTGGCTACCTGGCTGTGCCCGGTGAGGGGTGAGTGGTGACTGAGGCTTACTAATTGAGACATAAGACAAAGAACATTTGAGGACTGGCAGGTGTCATTCTTCAGTTCAGATCCCAGCCAAGAGACGGTGTGGCTCTTAGATAAGTCAGCCACTCCTGCAGCAACCCCATTCATTTTCGGCCAACACCAAGCACAGAAGCATACCCCGCCAGGCAGAGGGAGAAAGCTGTGTGGGTTTGCCCCTGGGTGGCTGGCTCCAATCTGGATTCGTTCTGCTCCTTAGAAAGGTGCATGCTGGTCAAGGCTTTGACTTTTGAGTTAGGCATACATGGGTCCACATTTTGACCCTGCCATTGTTAGATGCTTAACTTCTCTGAGCCCAAGTTTCCCTTTTTATAAAACGGGCATAAAAATGGTACCTATTGCACAGTGCTGTGAGGATTTCCACGAGACGATGCTCACCAGGGCTTAGCATAACCGCCGTCACAGGGCAAACTCACTCGATGCATGTTGTCATGCTGCACTGTTGGGGCAAAGATGTGCTGTCTTGCCACTCATCTGCTGTGTGGTCTTGGGCAAGCGCTGCAGTCTCTGGTTCTATCTGCAGGAATTTCCATGTCTGGAATGAAGGCTGGTTTGTGAGGTCTGACCTGGGCCCCTCGTACGGTGGATGGCAGGTGTTGGATGCTACCCCGCAGGAAAGAAGCCAAGGTAACTTCTCTGGGTGTGGTTCTGAGTCGTGAGCCTCACAGTTATTTACAGCCATGGACAGCAGCATAGGGAAGTAACTCCAAAGCCCTCTCCCTCTGGAATGCATGATGGGATTAAAACAAAAATAGTTTAAAAATAGATCTCCCCTGCTAATTTTGCTTGGCTCGGGCTGCTGTTTAAATGAGTGCCTGCCCTGCACCCACAATGGCCACTGTTGCTGCACAGAGCCTTGGCACAGGCCAGGTGGGCAGAGAGAGCAGCCTTCCTCTGCCAGTAATGATTTTCCTTCACCAACTGCAGCAGCCTCTCCTTCCCAGCACAGAAAATTCATGGTTCCCTGTTGCCCTTGGGGTTTAGTCCACATTCTCCACTGGTCACCACCCACAGCAGCTCTCTCTGCCACACCAAGCTCCCCCTTAGGCAGGCTGCCTCTGCCATCCCTATCCCGGGCCTCTGCTTCCTCCTCTGGCCTCCCTCTGTCTCCTGCCCCATCAGGGGTTGGGTCCCAGGCTCTCCTGGAGCCTTTCCTCTTCCCTTCTCTGACCTCTAGAGCATGACTTGTCTGTTACCCTCATTTTCAGTTGTTCTTTGAAACATTAAAAAGTGATTTATGGGGCTGGGAGTGGTGGCTCACACCTGTAATCTCAGCACTTTGGGAGGCCAAGGAGGGTGGATCTGTTGAGATCAGGAGTTCAAGACCAGCCTGACCAACATGGTGAAACCCCGTCTCTAGTAAAAATACAAAATTAGTCGGGCATGATAGTACATGCCTTAATCCCAGCTACTTGGGAGGCTGAGGTGGGAGAATCGCTGGAACTCAGGAAACGGAGGTAAAGCCGTGAGCCGAGATCATGCCGTGGCACTCCGGCCTGGGAGACAGAGCAAGACTCCGTCTAAAAAAAAAAAATGTGATATATGAAGTAATATGTGCATGTAGTTGAAAAAAATTCAAACTATTCTAAAAGGACTAACAATAAAACTTAAGTCTTACCACACCCCCAACCCCTAGCTCCTCTACCAGAATCAGTGCACGTTACTAGATTTGGGGGCTTGGAGGTAACTGAGACATTTGCTAGGCCACAATTTTCCAAAAGTTTCATTGCAACCCATTAGTGGTTATAAAATCTAGTTAGTGGGCTGTGTCCATCATTTTAGGAAAAGAAAATGAAATGGAATGGAACGGAAAGCAGGGAAAAGAACATAAACTATCAAGGCTCATTAGATATAGTTAGACTAGGCTGGGCGCAGTGGCTCACGCCTGTAATCCCAGCACTTTGGGAGGCCGAGGTGGGTGGATCACGAGGTCAGGAGATCGAGACCATCCTGGCTAACATGGTGAAACCCCGTCTCTACTAAAATTACAAAAAAAAAAAATTAGCCGGGCGTGGTGGCGGGCGCCTGTAGTCCCAGCTACTGAGAGAGGCTGAGGCAGGAGAATGGCGTGAACCCGGGAGGCGGAGCTTGCAATGAGTCGAGATTGCACCACTGCACTCCAGACTGGGCGACAGAGCACGACTGCATCTCAAAAAAACAAACAAACAAACAAAAAAGATATAGTTAGACTAAAGACCATTGTCCTGTGAAACTTTTGTTTCTGTATCATATGTGTGCCAAGATGTCAAATGTATTTCTTTCTAGGGGTTGTGGTGAAAAAAGCTGAAAGTCACTGACATCTATCTATCTATCTATCTAAGCTTCCTATGCTGAGTGCTAAGAAGAGGGAAGAAATGGTCAGGCTTGGGAGCTCAGAGGAACAAGAGGTCCCTGCAGGCTGCCTGTTCAGGGAAGTCTTCCTGGACTAGGAAGGTGATGAGCTTCTAGGCCAGAATGACTTGCAGAGGTAGAAAAGAGGCAGCCACCCTGAGCACGAGAAAGCAAGACTTTCCTCTTTAGGAAACAGACCAAGGACAGTGGGTCAGCATGGATTAGGCGCCCGGAATGCGGAATTGTGTAGTCTTATGTAGAGGTTGAGTTCGACCAGCAAGAGAATCATAGCCCGGGAGGGTCTCTGCAGAATGCCAAATGAGTGGGACACACAGTCAGGGGTGAAGGAATTTGGGCGGGGCAGAGGCAGGGGGTTGCAGTGGTCCTGGAAGGCCCTGGGGAATCGGGCACTGGGTAGGTTGTGGCCTTGGCATATATCCAGCCTCTGCATCTTGGCCTCCAGGGGTGTTCCAGTGCGGCCCCGCTTCGGTCATTGGTGTTCGAGAGGGTGATGTGCAGCTGAACTTCGACATGCCCTTTATCTTCGCGGAGGTTAATGCCGACCGCATCACCTGGCTGTACGACAACACCACTGGCAAACAGTGGAAGAATTCCGTGAACAGTCACACCATTGGCAGGTACATCAGCACCAAGGCGGTGGGCAGCAATGCTCGCATGGACGTCACGGACAAGTACAAGTACCCAGAAGGTAGGAGGGACGCTGGCGGGGCAGTGCCGCGAGAGGTTCTATTGTGGGAGGATGGCTCTGAGGCTGGAGAGGAGAAAAGTCCTCACCTCCCCCGCACTGGCAGCCAGTTCTGCCTGAATGATAGGATTGCTCCCTAGCACCTAACATCCACCTCCCAGGACTGTTTCCGGAGGGAACAAAACCATCACGGGCAGCTGTTGTGCCAGTGGAAGTTTGCTGCAGGGCACAGGTGGCTGTCAACCCAGCCCATCTCCAGCTGTGTCCCTGTCTCAACTACACAGCTAGGGTGACAGCACCGTGACTGAACATCACAGGGAGAGACATGGCCCCCATGAAAGGCCCCCAAGGGCTTTGGGAGAGATTTCTCCATCAGTCTGCTCCCTTAGCCTCTGAGAAACTCAGGGAGAAAACCATCTGAACGAAGAAAGGGACAAAGAAACCCAGAGACCTGAGCTTGCACTGTGCACATTTGGAGGTCTCCCAAGAAGCCAGATGAGGTGTGATTACATGGTGTGAATGCCTGAGCTCCTGAAATCTCAGGCATGCTACATTGCTCGTCCCCCTGAAGTCACCTTGGAAAGCCAGTTGCTGCGAGGCTGCCTCGACTCAATTATATTCACTGCCCAGAGTTTCTTTTGAAACCAGCAGCGCATCTCTTGGAGCATTCTCAATGATGATAAAAGTTCTGCATTTGAAGACAAAGTTCATTTTTAGAAACAGCCAAAAGTAATTTAGTGCTTGCTCTTGCAGGCCACAGTCACTCCTAAATGGGGTCAACATTTCACACTTTCTAAAATGCTTTGAAATTGCTCATTCCATTGATCTTCACAGTTGGTTCTGAGGGGTCAAGAAAAGCATCCTCATAAAGGTGCACACAGTACCCACAAAGTAAGCCCTGAATCTCTAAGTGACGGTTGGCTAATGGTGTTGGCCGAGTTTACAAAAAAGGAAAGCTGAGCGCAGGTGATGGGGTCTGACTTCAAGTCCAAGTGGGTGCCCCCCCAGGTGCTGGTATTTGTGAACATTTGGAGGCACAGTTTTAGGGTTATGAGATTGGTGGCCTCAATTTGGCCCCAGTCTTCCTCTGCAGGTCATTCCCAGGACTGAGCTCAGATAGACCTTTGCTCAGTCAATAAACATATTCTGAGCCCCATACTGAGTGCCTGCTTCATGCTGGGCCTTGGGGATGCAACAGAGGACACTGCAGATGGGCTGGAGGTGTGGGGATGTAGGACAAGTATTTTCAACAATGTTATGACGTAGAAACAAGCATAGGGGGTCAGGGAGCAAAAACTCGGGGGCGGAAGGTGAACTCTAGCCCTACCAGCCATAATTGTGTGACCTCGAGCAAGTTTCCTCTGATCTCTGAGCCCTCGCTTCCTCACCCGAAGAATGAGAAGAGCAATGCCTGTCTTCAGCGGGATTTAAATGAGCTAAGGTATACAAAGTGCCAAGTGCAATGCCTGGCATATAGTCAAGACTTGATAAATAGCAGTGGTGATCTTTATCAATTTGAACCTCTATAGCCTCACTGGAACAATGACTTCCCAAGGTGACTATTTTGCAGGCGCTGCTTACATGACTGTACGATCCTGTGGGGTTCCTTACCTTACCCCACACCTTGATCTCTGGCTGTCTCAGCCAAACTTCCTAAACAATGGAGAATGGGCAGGTCCGTTGTGGGGGTGGGGGAGGGGGTCCCTGAAGGACTCCCAGCAATGCCCCAGCCCTTATGCGACAGGACAGATCACCCTGCCTGATGTTGCCCAGATCTTCTTACCTAATGACTCTAGCTTCTCTCTGAGGGCCCCAGAGAGGAAAAGCTCATAAAATATGTTGCTAAGTATTGATGCAATAGCAACAGCAAAGGGAGAAAACAGCAGGAGGAAGCTTAGTCTTGAGTAAACCCAGCAGGTGACCTATATAGGCATCAAGGCTCCAAGCCTCATTGTGCAAACACACCTGCTTCAAGGTCCCAGGCACAGAAGGCTCAGATCCGTGCACTGCCTTCAGCTCTGGGTTGAACTTACAGCTGGACTAGAGGATGGGAAGGCATCAAAAGGAACCCAGCCCACCAGGAACTACCAGCTTAGGTAATCTGGCTGCCTGCCTTCTTTTTAGCAGGGTGTGTGGGAGGAAACTTAGACCAGGGGTCCAGACACCAGGGAACTGGCCCCCTCTCTGCCTCTGCAGATGACTGGCCCAGTCCATCTCAGAGTGGTCTGGACAAGTTGTGTCTCTTCTTAGGGCCTTAACTTGATAGGCATGGACGAGTTGGCCTCTGAAGTCTCTGCAAATCACATGTAATTTATGGGAAGGGGCTTGCTGTATCGTAAAATGCTTACAATAAGTCATCTGGGCCAGGTGAAGTGGCTCATGCCTGTAATCCCAGCACTTTGAGAGGCCAAGGTGAGCAGATCACCTGAGGTCAGGAGTTTGAGACCAGCCTGGCCAACATGGTGAAACCCTGTCTCTACCAAAAAGGCAAAAATTAGCTGGGCTTGGTGGCGGGCACCTGTAATCCCAGCTACTCGGGAGGCTGAAGCAGGAGAACCTCTTGAACCCAGGAGGTGGATGTTGCAGTGAGTTGAGATCATGCCACTGCACTCCAGCTTGGGTGACAGAGTGAGACCCTGTCACAAAAAAAAAAAAAAAAAAAAAAGAGAGAGAAAAAAAATAAAAAAAGAAAAGAAAGTCATCCAGTGCCTTAAGCATTTCACAGGTTGTTGGGGAAGGTGGGAGAATGTAAGTGTGGTCTGCAGACGTCAACATGGTCACTCTTCCTTGTGTACCTGTGTTCCTGGAAGGTCAACACCTTCTCCTAGATCTATCTTCAGGTCAAGCCTTTTGTGAACTGCTCAGTCAGCCCTGGCTCAGAGGCTTGCAGTCGGTTACTCAGCTCTGTGTGCCCTCAGAGCCATTTTCAGGTACATCCCTGTCATTCTCTGTGGGCTACTTACGCCATCACACTCAGCAGCACCCATAGCCTGAGTCAGAGTCAGAAAACCCATCTTTTTATCCAGTCTTTGCAGTTTTGAAAACTGAAATCTCTGGACAATTTCAACTAGTCATAACTTGGAACCACACCGACCATGGGAAGTCCTTGTCAACCGGCACAGATCAAAATGTCACTCCTTGACTCTCAAAGCACCTTTAGAAACAAGGCAGAAGAACATGGTTTACCAAAAAAAATTTTTTAATTAAGTCAGTTCTAAATCATCACCTTGCTTTTTGGCTTATGAATGTATTCTAATCTTTTTCAGCTCAGTTCTTATGATTTATTTTGAAATTATCTGTTTTTTAAGTCTCACAAAAGACATTTTATCAGAAAAAAATGGAATCTAACCTAATTAACGCAAGCAAATGATCAAGCCACATAGTAATTGTGTGCAGGTGTGATAAAGCTTTTCTACAGATTTTGGGAAATTTAGAGCTGATTAGAAAAGCGCCAGAGACCAACTGGTCTGTGAGTCTCCGGTTAAGACAGGCGAGCTGGAGACCTGTGAAAGTCGAATGCCTGCTAGGGCAGCAATGGAGCCAGCACCAGTCCTAGGCCGCCTGTCCAGGCAGGGTACTGTCCTTTGCCCAGGTTGCCATCACATCCCTGGCATGTTTCTGTCTTTTCCCACCACACAGGCTCTGACCAGGAAAGACAAGTGTTCCAAAAGGCTTTGGGGAAACTTAAACCCAACACGCCATTTGCCGCGACGTCTTCAATGGGTTTGGAAACAGAGGAACAGGAGCCCAGCATCATCGGGAAGCTGAAGGTCGCTGGCATGCTGGCAGTAGGCAAAGAAGTCAACCTGGTCCTACTGCTCAAAAACCTGAGCAGGGATACGAAGACAGTGACAGTGAACATGACAGCCTGGACCATCATCTACAACGGCACGCTTGTACATGAAGTGTGGAAGGACTCTGCCACAATGTCCCTGGACCCTGAGGAAGGTAACGCATCCCGCAGTTGGAGGAGATCCACGAATCCGAGGTAGCCAATGGCCTTCTGGGGCTGCAGGGTGTCTGCTGGGCTCCAGGTTAGTCAGCTACGAATGGAGCAGCCAGCGGCCCCTGTGGTTAAGCCATGTATTAATGCTTTGGAAGTTTCTGTCTCTATGAACAGAGTGATGCCAACCAAATGTCAGGGTGGTGCCAACCAAAATCCTTTTACGCCCCAAGGGAGGAAGGAGGGAGGCTTTGGCAGTTCATAGCTATGGCACAATATCCCTTACAAGTATATACCACCTCACACAGTTTGACCGTCTAAAAAAAGGCAGATTTTCAGTGTCCATCTTATAGAAGCAGAAAGTGAGGCTGGGAGAGATTTGTGACTTGCTTCGGAGATAAAGTATCATAGATAGTAGTGGTAGTGCTGAGTCTTGGTCCTAGGTTTCCTGATACTGAGTCCAGAGCCACCCCCTGTTTTCTATGTTGTATTGTTCTTACCCACCTCACCCCCACTCCCACAACAAATCGCTTTTCAAATTTGACCTCAGGAGGGTGGCAATGACCACGGGACCCTAAACCTTGGCCCATGGCCCTCCCACAGCTGCCACGGGGTGGGTGGACCTTCTGGAATCCTGACAACAGTGACAGGTTTTCTTAGAAGTCTGAGCGTTTGGGAGGAACAGTGACTCCTTGCCCTTGGGTAGCAGGGATGGGAAGGGAACAAGGTGGAGCAGATAAAGGTTGTGCTGTGGAAGGATTAGAATGCAGGTGTGCCCACATTGGTAAAATCCTTCAAGCTGTCATGAAAAGTTTGGACTTACAAGCCGGATTAACAGGGCAGGGTGGTTATTTGCTTCACATAAGGAACTAATAGAAACTGATTAATTATACTGCCCATCTTGAAAGAATTCTGTCTCCAGAGAAACTGAGAGGTGTCACACCTGTCAGAAAGAAGCATCCCCTAGCAATCTGTCTTCTGGCAGAATTTTAGCAGAAATCTTTTCAATATATGAAGCAACTGCCTGGCTGTTATTGACCTTAGAAACTCAAAGAAAGGGCTTTTTTTGTTTGTTTGTTTGTTTTTGTTTATTTGTTTTGTTTTTAGACAGGATCTTGCTCTGTCTGCCAGGCTGAAGTGATCATAGCTCACTGCAGCCTCAAACTCTGGGCTCAAGCAATCCTCCTGCCTCAGCCCCCCAAGTAGCTGTAGTCCCAAGTAACTAGGACTACAGGCATGCCATTATGCCCAGCTAACTTTTAAAGTTTTTTGTAGAGATAGGGTCTCACTATGTTGCCCAGGCTAGTCTCAAACTCCTGGCCTCAAGCAATTTTCCCGCCTTGGCTTCCCAAAGTGCTGGGATTACAGGCATAAGCCACCATGCCTGGCCAAAAGAGCTAATTTTGGAAATCAAAAAAAATTCACAGGATGGAAATAGTTAAAAAAAAACCGTTTTGCAGAATGGAATGGAAAAGAGAGAGAAGGCAGGTGTAGTGGTCTTAGAGTCTGGTCGTCTGCCAAGTAGTTGCTAGATGACCCTGGTTAAGTCTCCCTCCCTTTCTGAACCTCGGAGGTCACTGACGGTGAGGGTTGGACCAGCTGATGCAAGGGCCTGTCCTCTCCACATTTGGGGCAGGGATGGCAAATTCCTTCAGTGCTAAAAGCAGAGGCAGCTTCCTCCTCACAGTCTTACCTACAAGAGTATGTAATACTGTGGGTGCTGGGGCATCCCCAGGCCACCCAGCATGACAGCCTGAGGGAAGGGAGCACCTAAGCCCATCAGGGTAGGGAAAGGGCCCCGCGGCCCACAGGGTCAGAAGAGAGGACTTAAAGCGTGGGGAAGGAGCCGGATGCATGGAGAGAAGCCAGGGGAGGCATTTCCATCTGGGGGAACCATGTGAGTCAAAATATGGGGGCGAAAAGGTGCCTGTTTTGTCTGCAGAACAAGAAGTGTGGAAGGTTCTTTTAAGGGACAGGTGATGCAGGGCCAGGTTGAGGGGTCTGAACTTTATCTAAGGCAATGAGGAGCCACGGAAGATTTTTGAAGTCACATGTGACACAGAAGAAGAGTGATTTAGAAAACAAAACAGAACAAAACGAAAAACAGCTTTCCAAAGCTTTGTCTGGCTGGTGTGTGGATGATTTAGAAGAACTAGAGACCAGACCAGAGGAATGAAGGGGATGCTGTGGCAGTAGAACCCCAGGCTATTAGATGACGGGGAGGATCCTAAGCGTTTGTTTAGCCAATACCCTGGCTTCCCTTCCTACCTATTATTGTGTTACTGTCATGATTGCTACTGTTGTTGGCAATCAGGTGGCATTTGTATTCTTCCACTGCCCCTCAGAAGGACACTTGTGGCTGGGAGCAGTGCTCACGCCTGTAATCCCAACACTTTGGGAGGCCAAGGCGGGAGGATCCCTTGAGTCCAGGAGTTTGAGACCAGCCTGGACAACATAGAGAGACCCCATCTCTACAAATAATTTAAAAAATTTTAAAAAAAAAGGACACTTGCCCTCCAACATTTTTCGGAGTCGGGAGGAAGCAGCGGTATCTTTAGCCCCTGTGAGCCCATCCTCCTGGGAATCTGCCCAGCCAGAGAGAGTCCTGGGGCCTCTTTGCCCCCTGCTCTGGAGCCCACCCTGACCGGGGGACGCTTCCCACAGGACCTGGCCCAAGGAGGGCTCAGTCAAGCCCGGGGCTGCAGATCCTCCCACCAGCTCACCCTGCCTTGGCTTGGCATCTGTTCTGAGGAAGGTTCAGAAGCCATCCCCACTCCCCCTCACTCGGATCCCCTGGCTTCTCCTTCCAGAGGCAGAACATCCCATAAAGATCTCGTACGCTCAGTATGAGAAGTACCTGAAGTCAGACAACATGATCCGGATCACAGCGGTGTGCAAGGTCCCAGATGAGTCTGAGGTGGTGGTGGAGCGGGACATCATCCTGGACAACCCCACCTTGACCCTGGAGGTAATGGGGCTCCCCATCCTGTGGGAAGGGGTTCTGCCCCCAGCCAGCCCAGCTCCCAGGAGCCCCACTGTCCCTGTGAGCCACAGCTCTCCCAGAGGGCAAAGGAGAGTTTTTTCTTGCTGGGAGGGGCAGAGAACTGGGCCCAGCTTCGGTCCAGCCTCTGCCAAATAGCCAAGAGCTCCCACTCAGGCCCGTGTTCCTGCTCCCTGTCTGGTGAGATAAACGCGTGCATTTGCCTGGCTGCTTCTCAGATTCTAGTTCAGAACCACTGGGGGCATCAGCTGAGGAGGGGCCTGGGGGACTCTTTTCAGCTCATTCCCTTCTCACTCAGCTACTGAGCATTTGCTGTGTTCTGGGCCATGCCAGGCTTGAGATCTGCTGTGTTCTGGGCCATGCCAGGCTTGAGAATCACAGACAGGCACAGGTGTAGGTCTCACACACAGCCAGCTGATGTGCCAGGGCCACAGCCCAGCCCTCTGTCATGGACAGATCAGAAATAGGCCTGACCCACAGCATCTCTCCCCTGTCTAGACCCTGGAGTTACAGAATTGTGGACTCTTAGGAGCCTAGTCACATGCTCCTGTACTCTCATTTCACACAAGTAAACCAAGGCCCAGAGAGAAGGGAACAGCTGGCCACCGCCAGAGTCAAGGCTAGGCCTCAGAACCTGGGACTCCCAGCCCATGCCCCTCCAAGGCGTCCTGGTACATCACCAGCCAGCAACAGCATCTTCAAAGTGGCTGAGAACAAAGACCCCTCTTTCTCTGCTCATAGGGCTTCCTTTACTTTGCAGCATTCACTCCCAGGCTCCTTCTCAGGAGCCCAGGAAGGTGGGGCTTGCAGGTCTGTGGGAGGCCCCTCGTGCCACTCTGTGTCTTCCTCAGCACTGGTAGGAGCACCTGTGCGGACTCCAAGCCTGTCCCTCACCCTGTAGCCCCTGTGCCTGATCCCCACAGCCCAGGGTGAAGGGTGCTGGAACCAGGGAGTATAGGTCTGAAGGGTAAAAGGCTGGACAAGGACAGGCAGACAAACGGACAGAGAACATGAGGTTTTCCCTTGGGGCCCAATCAAGAGCCTCATGGGCCAGGCCCTGCCCTCTCTCATCTGCTGTACCCACCGTCTGCCCCAGTTGTCTAGATAGAAATTGCCTTTCCCTGTACAATCACAATGCCACAGGTTTCCCAAGCCCCAGAAACCAGGAAGAGCCAGATAATCATGGCTGCCCTGGCCCGCCCCTCCTTAAGCTGTAAGCTGGCTGCAGGCGTTCCTGACCTCAGAAAGGGCAGGGGGATCTAGGATGCTGGCTCTGATGCCGGGCCTGGTTCTCCCACATAGCTGGCCTGCAATTGCACCCTTTTACTGTCCTGGTTAGTTTGGACTGTGCTTCAGGATGGGGGAGTTGGTCCCCTACCTTAGGGGCTAGAGAGTCAGTGACTGGGCAGCCAGTCTGGGGGCTGAGAAGGGCAGTCGTTCAGGCCTTGGGCCATGTAACCAAATGGATCTGGCATTGTATCTAAACCCCTCCATTGATCAGTGGTGACACTGAGCAGGTCCCTTAATCTGAGTCTCAGTTGCTCCAACTCTGTCACTGGGACAATAAATTACTTCCCTTGCAGAGTGTCATTTCCTCAGGGAAGCCTTTCCTGAGCTCCCAAATTAGGCTCCCAAATTCATCTCAATTATACACCCTCAGAACATTCTGTCCTTTTCCTTCAAGGCATTTGTCCCAGCTGGAATATTATCCTTCTTTGTGCAATTATTTGGTTGTGAATCCCTACCCAACCGTAAACTCCATGAGGGCAGGCATTACCTCTGTTCTGAGTTCATCACTGTCTCCCTTAGCACAATGTCTTAGTGGATAGCCACTATTTGTAAAAGAGAAATAGCCCCTTGCTCGGGGCATGACTGGAACAGATCCCCTTGGCTCTGGACTTGCATTCTTCCCTGCACAGGAAAGTCAGTCCAGGCTTGTGCCCTGCGTGTGACAGCCTCTCCTGCTTCACAAGACATTTCTGAGAAACACTCCCCATCTCTCTAGACATGGTGGACAGCAGAGTGCCCATTCCAACTCCTGAGGCTAGAAAATGATACTGGGTGGCTGCCAGTTCAGTTATGAGAACATTCTGTACTAAAGTGATCAGTGTTTAAAAGAACTTAGTTTTTGGCCAGGCGCGGTGGCTCACTCTTGCAATCCCAGCACTTTGGGAAGCCGAGGCAGGTGGAGCACCTGAGGTCAGGAGTTCAAGACCAGCCTGGCCAACATGGTGAAACCCCGTCTCTACTAAAAATAGAAAAAATTAGCCAGGCATGGTGGCGGGCACCTATAATCCCAGCTACTTGGGAGGCTGAGGCAGGAGAATTGCTTGAACCCGAGAGGCAGCGGTTGCAGTGAGCCGAGATCACACCACTGCACTCCAGCCTGGCTGACAGAGTGAGACTCCGTCAAAAAAAAAAAAAATTAGTGTTTTTCCCCAGTGTATTCCCCATTATGTTCCCTTATCCAATGTCCTCAAACCTTCTTCCAGCATTATCTTTTATTCAACACTTTTGCTATACATCTTCCAGATTTCCATGGCAAGTCTACTTATCTTTAAGATACTACAATATCTTTAGAAAGGAAATCAGAATATATAAGGCTAGAAATGTGCCATCACTGACTCTTTTTAAAAATTTAATCTTTTTAAATGACTCCTGATCTTCCTTCTTCGAGGCAAGTTCTTTCCTCCACCTAAGCCTTCACCTAATCGAGACATTCTTGTCTCTATTGAACGGATCAATGCCTAGCTCACTCAGAGCAGGGCACCGATTTTTAAACTGGAGAAGGTGATCTGTATGAAAAGATAATAATTTGGGTAAAACCCCATTATCTAACCTGGTACTGACTGGCAATTAGCACTGAGGACCTTAGACCACAAAACCAGGCCAAAAACAATCTGAACATTGTTTCCAAAGGGTGATGTCCTCCCAATTGATCCATCATCTGTGACAAGCAAACTCAGGTTTTTAGTGGCTTTTATCCTTTCCTCTGGGTACATTTACAGAGTTGGGTCAATAGGAGAGAGTGGTAAGCGGCATTAAAAAAAGAAAAAAAAGCATGGAAATCTCAAATTAAATATCACCATGAAAAATGTGGCAACATCTGTATAGCTTTCTTATAACCCAATAGCATAAAATTATGCTGCACTCTTCAAATTATGTCATACACTTAAATGAGTTTCATGGAAGAAATGAAAATATAGACCATGATGTGTAAAATGCTTCAATTACTCACAAATTACTGGGAGGTATTGCAGACCTATCAGAAACAGCAAAGGCTTTAGATCCAGCTGGGCTCTGCTGTTTCCTTGTGTGTGAATGTTCCAGGTTATTGAATCAGCCTGAACCTCAGCTCTGTCACTGTAAAATGGTTGCTCTGAGGATTAGTGACAAGAAAAACAAAACACAGCAACAACAAAACCCAGCAACCTCCGGTCATCCTCAAAAGAAGAAGAAATCCAATAGCCATAAAATGTCCATTTCTATGTCCAAAATGCTTTCTTCCCCATCCTTGATCTCATTTGACCCCTTCTGGGAGGGAAGAGATGATTGTCCTTCTTTACCAGATGAGGAAGTTGAGGCGCAAAGAGATGACTTGTCTGCCCAGAATGAATTACGGCTGTTTCTTGGCAGAAACACAACAGCTTTCATCTTTTGGTCTGAATAAATAGTCCAAATTGCTTTTCTGACCCCAAACCCAGCCTTCATCTGTTCTGATCACTGAGCAAGGACCGTGTGGTATTAGAGCTCCGC